>NC_000002.12:22661270-22812785 GCF_000001405.40 Homo sapiens
TAAATTTAGAAAATAAAAATTAAATTAAAATTTTAAGCATAAAGTCTTGCAATAATGGGGTATAAAATATGCCCAAGATCATTTTTATTAGGAAATGCAAATTAAAACATTCATATACATACTTTGCATGGCTATGAGAATGGCTAAAATCCAAACATCTGACAATACTAATTGCTGGTGAGAATGTGAAGCAAAAGGAAGTCTCATTCATTGTTTGTGGGAGTGAAAGATTGCTGGTGGGAGCAGAAGATTGGCAATTACTTACAAAGCTAAACATAATCTTATCATACAATCCAGCAATTGTTCTTATGTAGATCTACCCAATTAATTTGAAAATGATGTCCACATAAAAATCTGCACACAAATGTTTAGAATATCTTTATTAATAATAGCCTCAACTAGGCAGGGCGCGGTGGCTCACGCCTGTAATCCCAGCACTATGGGAGGCCGAGACGGGTGAATCAGGAGGTCAGGAGATCGAGACCATCCTGGCTAACACGGTGAAACCCCGTCTCTACTAAAAATACAAAAAATAGCCGGGCATGGTGGCGGGCGCCTGTAGTCCCAGCTACTCGGGAGGCTGAGGCAGGAGAATGGCGTCAACCCGGGAGACGGAGCTTGCAGTGAGCCGAGATCGCGCCACTGCACTCCAGCCTGGGCGACTGAGAGAGACTCTGTCTCAAAAAAAAAAAAAAAAAAAAAAAAAAAAATAATAATAATAATAATAATAATAATAATAATAGCCCAAACTGGAAGCAACAAAATATCCTTCAATAGATGAATGCGTAAACAAATTGTGGCACGTGTGTAATGGAATACCATTAGGTAAAGTAAAGGAATGACCTATAAGTCAGGCAAAGACATGGATGAACCTTACTCATATTGTTAATTGAAAAAAGCCAGTCTGAAAAGGCTACATACATACGGAATCATATAATAAAATTACAATTATACGTCATTGTGGAAAACAACAAAATTATGGACAGTTAAAAGATCAGTGTTTGCCAGGGGTTTGGAGGAAGGTTTGAAAAAGTCAAGGACCATATTAGGGCAGTGAAACCATTCTGTATATTGCAGTGGTGGATACATGATGGAATACATATATTAAAACCCGAGAACTTTATAGTGCAATACTGAATCTTACTGTACACAAATTAAAAAATAATTAAAGATGCCAAGGGCTCCCAGGCTGGAGTGCAGACTGTAACAAAGAATCTAATTGTATTGCAAACATATCAAATAACCTCAGTGATGGAGTGGGGAGATGGTGCTGATATAAGTAACTTTGTAAATGAGTGGAATCTAAAATTAAAGGATGAAAGGCAATATAAACTGTACATAACCATTGTTTTCTAATAGATAAAGTTATTTCCCATGGGGATACATGTTAACAACTCTTTTACTGCTATATACATACACTGAAATTGAACCTTGAAGAAAATAGATGGTACCAGGTAGGTTTCTCCCATTTTTGAAGTCAGAGGTTAAAGATATAAGCAGGGGGAAGGACGCTAGAATTATCACATGGTACTGGATTAGAATTGGAGACATCTATATAAATTCCCTTTTAGCTCAATATAGATACCGATAGGCACATATACAAATATTTATAGACAGTTGTATATACATGGGCTAGTATACACACATTTTTTTTGCTCTGTCAGCTGAATGGGACTAGAAGCAACAGCACCCCAAGAGCAGCCAGCATAATAGCACCTCGAATTTGGTTTCCAATACTGCTCTCTAAGAGAAGGATCCAGGGCTCCTTAGATAAATGAACAATTCTGGGACTGGAACAGGAAATATACAAGATACCCCTGTGGGAGGTTGTGGTGCCAGAAAGTAAGGAAGTGCTAAACACATACACAATGATGTGAGTTTGTGAAAGGGACAAAAGAGTCAACTGAAAGAACTCCCAGTATTCAAAGCTAGAACAACGTGAGCATCAAAAGAAAGCAGTATTAGATCTTAAACCAATAACATGAATACCCATGAGCACATATTGTTATAAAAATCAGTGAATAAATAAATGAATGTGGGAGAATAAACAAATAATCCATGTAGAAGTATTCCAAATAATTCATGGAGATACTCTTCCTTCATAAAGGCAGATCACAACTTCTCACTTCTTAAGCATGTGTTGTACGATGACTTCTTGCAAATGAGCACCGTATTTTATTGACTTCTCAAAAGACCACCAATAAATCTTTCAATCAATCAAGACCAAATGGTGCAGTGAGGGAGAGCATCAACTTATCAGTCATAGCTGTGATTCAGAACAAGGGTATCAAGAAGGATATTTATAGGCTTTAGGACTTCGGCTCAGTGACTTAGGTGGTTCTTTCAAGTTGCACACTCCTTGATTTTGAGAGAAGTCTGTGGCAAAATTACAGTGGGTATAGAGAGGCAATGATCTTGAAGTGAGTAATGATAAGTAAACTGTTGTTTGACCACCTACTTGTTTACCCAGGTGAGCAATCTAATATTTTGTAGGACAACCATTTTCCCAGATGAGCCAGCTCTTAGTCCAGACCTATTGGTGTTCAAGAATTTCCTGAAGCAAATGGTGAGAATATTGATTGGATTACAGCTTCATCTTCTAGGGCGAGAATTTTTTGGAAGAAATAATGTAAACATGTTGACATAGGTGGTCTCAGTTCTCAGTCATGCTATTTAAGCTACAAGGACACAGTTCTCAGTATGTATTTTTCATAATTAAGTTTGTGTTTGTTTTTAAATACGCAGCTCACAAAAGAACAAACACCAAAGTCCAACAAATATATAAATAAATACCTACCTTCCTTAGTAATCAGGAACAATTATCTAGATATTATCTAATACAGATTAAATTAGGAAAGTCAAAATTCTGACACCACTAAGATTTGACAAAGACAAAGAAAACTGACCTCTCATTTACTGCTGGTGGAAGAATAAAATGGTAAACTATTTTAGAGGGCAACTTGTCAATATCAGAGTATATTGAGGTACATAATCTGTGACTCAGCAATGCTGATTTTAAATATATGCTCAGGAGAAACTCTTGTACATATTCACCACAGGAGATACGCATGAAAATATCCATTGCAGCAGTGTCCTTGGTTATGGGAATGAATAATAAATTATTGTGCATTCACTCAATTTATACAGCAATAAAAACTAGATTAATGTATATGAAAATAGATATATTTTTAAAATATAATACAGTTGACCCTTGAACAACACAGGTTTGAACTGCATGGGTCCACTTATACACAAATTTTCTCTGCCTCTGACACCTCTGAGACAGCAAGACAACCCTTTCCTCTTCCTCCTTGTCCTCATCAGCCTACGCAAGGTTAAGGCAAGGAAGAAGACCTTTATAATGATCCACTTCCACATAATAAATAGTAAACATATATTTTCCTTATAGTTTTCTTAATGTTTCTTTTCCCTAGCTTACTTTATTGTGAGAATACTGTATATATACATATAATATACAAAACATGTTAATCAACTGTTTATGTTATCGGTAAGGCTTCCGGAAAACAGTAAGCTATTAGCAGTTAAGTTTTGGGGAAGTCAAATCACATATCCAGATGATTTTCAACTGTGTGGGGATAGGTCCCCTTAACCCCTGAGTTGTTCAAGGATTAGTTGTACTGAGTAACGAACTAACTTCTGGAATAGTACCTATACTATGACATCATTAATACACATTTTTAAAACAACAACACAGAGCAATGCTTTACTTATGGATATATAAGTGACAAAATAATAAAAATATGAACAATAAGGGCACACATCATATTTGGGATAGTGTTCATCTCTGGGAAAGGAGGTAAGAAAATGCAATTGCAAAGAGGAACAAAGAGGACTTCACTGTCTTCCATAATGTTATATAACTTTTGATACAGTTTGGATATTTGTCCTGGCCCAAATCTCATGTTGAAATTTAACCCCCAGTATTTGAGGTGGGGCCTGGTGGGAGGTGTTTGGATTGTGGGGGCAAATTTCTCATGAATGGCTTGGGCCATCCCCTTGGTGATAAGTGAGCTCTCACCCTGAGTTCACACAAAATCTGGTCATTTAAAAGTGTATGCCACCTACCCCCAACTGTCTCTCGAGCTCCTGCTTTTACCATGTAATGCACATGCTCCCCCTTCACTTTTCTGCCCTGGTTGTAAGCTTCCTGAGGCTTCCCCAGAAGCTGAGCACATGCCAGCACCTTGCTTCCTGTAAAGCCCACAGAACTGTGAGCCACATAAACCTCTTTCTTTAGAAATTACCCAACCTCAGGTATTTCTTGACAGCAATGTAAGAATGGTGTAATACATCTTTCATTTTTTAAAGGAAGTAAAATGACATCTGAAGCAGAAGCAATAAAATGTTCACACTTCATTCTGGCTGGCAGATACTTGTGTATTTGATATGTTATTATGTATATTTCCTATAGTTTTAAAATTTATCAACTTTCATTAAGTGGGTGTTGAGATCTATATTTTGCTTGTGGATGTCAATGCTTCCCCACCTACTTGCGGAAAACTCTGTCCTTTTCATTTAATTGCTTTTGAACCATTGTCAAGAGCCAGTTGTCCATGTATATATAGGGACATACACAACGTGTCTGTGTGTGAAATATATATAGATAGTTGTCCGACTTCTGAACATTTTGTTCCATTTCATTGACTTGATTTGTGTCTCTGTACTATCACCAATGCCACACTGTCCCAATTGCAATAGCTTTATAATAAATATTAAAATTGGGCAGTATAATACTTCCAGTTTTATTTTTATTTTTCAAAATTGCTTTGGCTATTCTAGATCCTTTGCATTTTCATATACAATGCTTCCATTTTTGAATTGGTTTGTCAATTCCTTCAAAAAGTCCTGAGATTCTGACACATATTATGTTGAATCCATATATTAGTTTGGAGAGAATTGATACCTTAGTAATACTGAGCCTTCCAAACCATTAACAAACCATAAGTTGCCATTCATTTAGGACTTCTTTGTCTTCTGAGTATTTCACAGTTTTTAACATGCAGAACTTGCATATATTTTGATAGCTTTATGTATAACTCATGCTTTTGATGATATTATAAAATTTTAATTTTGATTTTAAGGTGTTTATTGCTAAAATATAGAAATATACAGTTGGTCCTCAGTATCTGCAGCGGATTGGTTCCAGTACACCCTACAGATACCCACATCCATGTGTATTCAAGTCTTGTAGTTAGCCCTGCAAAACTCACGTACAAGAAAAGTATAAAAAGTGAGCCCTCTCTGTCAGAAGCTTTTGCATCCAGTGAATTCTGTATTTTCCACTCACATTTTGTCATGGATGCAGAACCTAAGGATATGGAGAGCCTACTGTATTTATTGGAAAAAATCTGTATGTTTCCTTATTAAATGGACCCATACAGTTCAAGCCCATGTTGTTCAAGGGTCAACTATAATTTTTTTAATATTATTTTTATATCCCAAAACGTTGCTCAAAGCACTTATTAGTTCTGGTAGCTTTTTTGTAGAATCTAGGATTTTCTAAGTAAGCAATTATATCAGTTGTAAATAGAGTTTAATTACTTCCTTTACAACCTTGATGCCTTTTATTTATTCTTCTTGCCTTTTTCCACTAGATAGGACCTCCAGTATGATGATGATTAGGAACTCATGAGAGTAAACATCCTTGGCGTTTTCCCGACCTTAGGAGGAAAGCATTCAGCCTCTCACTTTAAGTGTGTTGTTAGCTAAGGAGATTTTATAGATTCCTTTATCAGGTTGAGGGAGTTTCCCTCTGTAACTAGATTGCTGAGAGTTCCATCATAAGTGAAATTTTATCACATTTTTTGTTTTCAAGTGCTTTTTCTTCATCTATTGAGATCATATGGTTTTCTTATTTAATATATTAAAATGGTGAATTTCATTGACTGATATTAAAATGTTACACCAACCTTGAATTAATGAGATAAACTCCATTTGGTCATTGTATTATCCTTTCCATATAGTGCTAGATTTGATTTGGTAATATTTTGTTGAGGATTTTTGTAAGTGTTTTCATGAGGCATGTTAGTCTGTATTTTCTTTTCTTACAGTGTCTTTATCTGTTTATGTGTTTAGTACAATGCTGGCCTCAAAAATTGAATTAGAAAATATTCCCTGCTTTTCTATTTTCTGGAAATTGATGGTTTAAAAGCAATTTATCAAGAGCATCAAGTATCTAGAATAATCTAGGCAAATATTTTTATTCTGAATTCTTTAAAAAGTATTTCCAAACAAAAGTGACTATATACTAAACATGATAAAAAATTAAAATAAATAAACTCAATTATTTCAAAATAGAGAATGTTAAATGAATTCCATATACATGTGATATTATCTGATACGGGGTACAAACATACTGCAATATTAGGAAAATTTGTAACATTAGAAAAACAATTTTAAAAGAAACTGTAAAAATAACTGTTGAATACTGATGCAGAGTGGCTAAAGAAAGCTAAAGTTCTAGTGGCCATCAGTTCTTTGCAAGACAAATGCAAAATAAGTGATATATCTTTCAATCACATGCAAACTCACTCCAGGTTAACTGAGTTATTCAGAGGAGGTTACATATCTGATATTTGCTTTTGCAGACATACTTGCTTTTTGCAGACATCCCTTTGGAAACAGCTGGAGAAGGATGTCCAAACTTCAAATGACAAAACCAACAGTGACGTGACTACCAAAAAAACTATCATTTTGTTTTTATCACAGTAGATGCTATAAAGATTCTGATGTGTAAGTAACGGCTGCTTATGTGTCAGATGCATTATATGATTTGTTTCAGTTTGATTCAGGTGGAAAACTCTTTTACTTGTGAGAAACATAAAAATAACAATATTTTAAAACACAAAACTGATTTTTTTAATTTAATTTTTTTTTATTAATTTTTTTTTTTTTTTTTTGAGACTGAGTCTCACTCTGTCGCCCAGGCTGGAGTGCAGTGGTATGATCTCGGCTCGCTGTAAGCTCCACCTCCCGAGTTCACGCCATTCTCCTGACTCAGCCTCCCGAGTAGCTGGGACTACAGGCGCCCGCCACCACACCCAGCTATTTTTTTTTGTATTTTTAGTAGAGATGGGGTTGCACCGTGTTAGCCAAGATGGTCTCGATCTCCTGACTTCGTGATCTGCCTGCCTCGGCCTCCCAAAGTGCTGGGATTACAGGCGTGAGCCACCGCGCCTGGCCCGCAAAACATTATTCTTCATAGAATACTTTTACAGAAATGATTTTATTTCTACTGTTACTTTTCTTGTAGCTGGAGGTTGTTGTTTCTGGTGGTTCAGTAAGGGGCTGGCATAAACTAAGCTGTTGAGTTCAGGGGCACAAAGAGAAAATGAAGGAACATGGCATAAAACTGAAACGATTTCTTAATTAGCATTCAAGGTTTGCTGTCAAATTAAGCCTGAGAAATATTTATGGTTTTGAAGCACTAGAAAAACTTAACCAGAAAGTGTTTCTTTGATCTAGATATCTAGAAAGAAAAAAAAAATTGTATTAATTGTATCTATAACTTAGAAAGTATGCTCAACAAAAATACGAGTCTTAAAGTATACGCCTATGTCATCCAGATTTAGTCCCACACTTGGCATGGAATAAGGACCCAATAGATGTTTTTTCTTCTTAGCAGTAATAGATAATATAAAGAACTTTTGTTCATGCATATTAGATTTCATATCATTTCCAAGAAGAACCTTTTTTAAACTTTTATATATAAGCTATAGAACTCTCAAGTCAAACCATATTACTGTAAACAAAGTAAATCAGCTTAACCCATTCATATTCCACACTAACAGTTGTCATTGTTCTTTCTTCTAGGGATATCACATTCCATTCCTTGCTAATTTTCTTCTTTATATTTTTAATCTGATTAATACATTTCCATTTTATTAGGTCTAATAGATAGCTGATCTAATTTGAAGCTTATAAATTATACAGTTATATGTGAATTGATTAAAGCATATAACTCTAATAGACTGGCAATCTTTTCAGAGATTAGAAGTGCTGCTTAGTTCCCTTTCTATGGATGATTAATTTTCAGTGGTTATCCACTCTCAAAATGAAAATTAAGCAATACATATTTGCTTTGTGGATGACCAGTTTTATTAAAGTAGTAGAGTTGATGCAATTAATTATCAATACCCTGTTAAGAAAGCCAAAGGTAAGAACCAGGCAGGTACCTATTGTCAGTGGTAAAATTTAGTTACTGTTGTTAAAAAAAAAAAATAGTGTCAGAGAGTTCACGATTTATGCAACAATCCAGAATCATGCACAAACGATTCCTAGAGTTCCTAGTTTTTACATATTTTAAGGAAAATTGGTTTATATCAATATCACTTTAAAGTGACTTTAAAATGATAAATATTTCATTTGACTGAACAAAATTTTTTTGTCTACATTGGTACTCAGAGGCTGCTTCTTTGGTGCTGACCTCTGCTCAGGACAAGAGAAAATTGTCTACTAAGTCCAAACATTTAGCCGTTATGCTTTCTTGGACATCATTTCCGAACAAAGTAATGCAATTAGTGCTCTGACAACTAAGAATTAAGAGTGGGCACTTGAGCTTTCATTCTTGGGTTCTAGAAATTCTGGGAACCAGAGATTCTGTGACAGCCTCCTATCAAGAAAGCTACTTTATAAGCTGCAGTCTGGCCTTTCCTGGTGGTGCTTCTCAGAGGAGTAATCGGTCCAGATAGGTCATCTTGAGAGGTTCCCTATTTCAATGTGGAACTCCTTCTGTCATACTGCCATTCATGATATCATTAATTAAAATTATGGATAAAATGTAAGATTTGTGCTGTTTGTGTGTGTGTGGAGGGTTTGAGGGCATATTGTTGAGGTTACCGATCACTTATATTTCAAGGCAATGGGATTGGATCTTATCTTTTGTGACTGCTGGCTGAGGGTATGACCCTGGGTAGAGCTTGGAAAACAAAAAAGATGTAACCAAAAGGAGATCATCTGGGACCTTGAGAGCCTGAGGAGGATGTGGGAGGATCCTGAGTGCCAGGAAGTCCTGAGTCTCGGGCTTCCAGAAGTAAAGGATGCAATGACAAAGAAAAACGCTGCAAAGCTACAATCCACCCCTTCATTCCTGCTTATGACAAACATAAATGTGCTCATAAATTTTGACAATGGCTGAAAAATCTATCTACAGTCTCCCAAACAAACCAAGATTCAGCTCTCAAAATTATGCCCAATTTTAGTATCATTAATATATCAGCATAGTAATTCTCCAAAAAGCAAATAATGGTAACTTATTATTTCTCCTTCTTATAATATTCACCATTTTCTTTGGAAACAAATGCTCCAATGAGCAAACATACAAAGAATGTGCATCCTCTGCTATCCAGGCTCACACTTGAGCCCAGCCACTCTTTATAGCCCCAGCCAGGGGCCTGCTACATTGGGCAACTTACAGTATTTCATACTTTTTATTGTGTTGGTACATGCTATTTTCAAGAAGTTCTAACCACCTCTCTTCTGCCTTGAAAAGTCCTATTTTCCTCTTAAGTGCAGTTTAAATGTCAAATGTTCTCTGAATATTTCTGTCCCCTCCCACAAGCAGCCTTAGTCTCCAGGTGATGGGTCACTAATGACTTAGACTCTAAGATTGGCCGAGGCCCTGCCCTCAGCTGGCTCCATTAAGAACATCCCTTGGGTACTTACTGTTTGGCAGATACTACACAGAGAGCTTTAAATGTACTGTTTTATTTAATATTCCCATCAAAATTATTATTAAAATCCCATTTCACGAGTCAGAAAACGAAGGCTCAATAGTTCACAGAAAATGCCCATGGTCACAAAATTTATAAGAGGTTAAACCCAGGTAGCCTAATTCCAAAGGCTATGCATGTCATTGACATATATCACTGTCTCTGATGCTCTGAGAAAACACACATAAACTAAGGTTTATTAAAAGGTTTCTGAAAAAAGAAACAGATATTTTAGTCCATCCTAAACCTCAAAGAAGATGAAATATGATTCGATGTGAGAAGGTAGCTATAAGACCTTGGAAGATGAATCAGACAAGGATAAAAAGTAAAATATTTTAATAGCCAACACACTGGGCAGTGGTTATAAATAAAATATGTTTTTAAAAAGTGACCAGATATGCATTTAAGAATCCAATGTATCTTTATAATTCTTTGTAGATTTATTAATATAGTAAATACAGTTACCCTCTATCAAACATCTATTATAACTGGGCATTGTTCTTAGTTTTATACATATTTTATCTTAAATAATACTTGTAATGATACTGTAAGATAGTTACTATTCTCTTCCCCTCCCCCAGTTCCTATTGGGGAAAATTAGTAAGACAGAAATTGGATGACTGGTTCAAGGTTACATGAGAAATAAATGGAGCAAGAATTTGAATTCAGCCAGTGGGCTTCAAGAGTCCATATTTGAGAGTATGATATCTATGCTACGAGACCCATATTACATCTCATACATATGGCACACTTCTTAAATATATTGCTAGGGCATATTTCTTATCTTGAATCATGCTCAGTCTGCCTCAACAAATACTTCTATCATTTCCATGGATCCCCAGTGTAGAGAATGCCTTGAAATACTGTTAAATATTTGTACTGGGTGTCCCAGATTTTTTTGACTCAAGAAGTCTGGCATAAAATCAGGTAACTAATTTTTCAAGTAGAGTGTAGTTTTATCAGGTATCATTTCAGTCTTGATAATAAACAATATTAACAAATATTCTTATCTGGACTTTCCATTAATAGAGATTTCAAAGTCCAAAATATAATTGTGATAGGCAGAATAATTGACACCAAAAAGATGTCTACAGGGCTCGTTATTCAGTATAGACTTTTCCTTAATCTCCTCATTTTCTTATTGACATCTTACCTTCTTGTTTGTCTGATGCCCCAAAATCTCTTATTTTGGTTTAACCTCTCCAGAGAGTTAGCCTCCAGGCTCTGTTGGGTTGGGGAACACAATTGCCAAGTTGTGAGAGGTGAGAAAAGAAATGTGGGTGTGGAGGGAGGAAGAAAGGTAGAGAGAGAGAAATACCGCTTTAAGCCCTTATTAGGCAATAGCCCAAAAGTAATTAAGACAAAGGGAATCCTTAAATTGTAGTATGATAGAAATTTGTATATTATAAAATTAGAAATAGAGATAGAGTTATTGAAAAATAGTTGATTAAAAAACAATAAACTTGAAATGACTATAGACGGGAAAACTGAAAGTTTTCCTGGGAGATGAAGATAAGCATTTTGATTTTACTAGAACAATGTTCTTATCTGTATAAGCCACAAAATCAGAATTTAAAGTATCAGAAACCTGAATAGCAAAATATGTTTTGGGGGTGAGGAAGATGCATTGAGTGTTAGAAGTATCTCTGTCTTTTGCTAAAACACTGTCACATAAGTGAACAAAACAAATACTTTCTGAGGAGAAAACATACACACATGGAAAAAAACAAAAACAAACAAAAAAACAAACAAAAATCCTGTAATTTATGCTCCCTGAAGCCTGTAGGGGGGAAGCAGCGACAGTGAAACCAGTACCCTTATCTCTGGTGTCACTGCAATTCTGAGAGTTTGCCACTTACTGTCCAGTCTCAGAGATCACCAATGATGTTTCTAGTCAGCCTGACTTCTCAGTTGATTCTTGTTCTAGATATATCCCGATATATTTTTACTTCAATTAGAAATGTCCCTAAGCCTCAAAATAGCATAAAATTTAGGCAAATTCTGTAAGAACTTGAGATATTCATTCTGTTGACATGTACCTTTTATGAACCAAATATCAAGACTGTGCAAAATTACCAAAACAAATGAATGCTAGCAAAGACTTAACTGTACTATGGGTTACTTTATTTCATATTGTAACACAAGCTGTGTTAAACAAGATTTTTACTTTTATTTAGATGATGAATGGTTTTAGTGTAGTATTTTGCCTTTTTCTTTAAAAGTATGAGTACCAGACCAAAGTATTAAATTCACATTTAATTAACTGTGCAGTTCTAGAGACTACTAACATACAGAGGCCTTTTAATCAGCAGGTACAGTGCACAAAAGTTATTAAAGTTTGAACTGTGTTGCACAGCATGAATGTTTCAGGTACTGGTTTAGATTTAAAACACATTAGTGAAAAAAGGATCCGGGGTCATGAGATATAGACTTAAGTCTCTGGTCTGTTGTTACTTAGTTGTGAAACTTTGGCCCTCTTATTCAAACTCTTTTCTCATTTTGTCAGAGGTATTTCAACAACAGCAACTTCACCTTGAATAGGGGCTGGGTAAAATAAGGCTGAGACCTACTGGGCTGCATTCCCAGGAGGTTACAGATTCTAAGTCACAGGATGAGATAGAAGGCTGGCACAAGGTGCAGGTCACAAAGACCTTGCTAATAAAACAGGATGTGGTAAAGAAACAGGCCAAAACCCACCAAAACCAAGATGGCGCTGAGAGTAACTTCTGTTCGTCCTCCCTGCTCATTATATGCTAATTATATATGCTAAAAGACACTCTCACCAGCACCAAGACATTTTATGGATGCCATGGCAACGTCGGCAAGTTACCCTATATGGTCTAAAAAGGGGAGGACCCTTCAGTTCCGGGAATGGCCCACCCCTTTCCCGGAAAACTCATGAATAATCCACCCCTTGTGTAGCATATAATCAATAAATAGCCATAAAAATAGTAAACCAGCAGCCCTCAGGGCTGCTTTACCTATGGAGTAGCCATTCTTTTATTCCTTTACTTTCTTAATTAACTTGCTTTCACCTTACTCTATGGACTCGCCCTGAATTCTTTCTTGCACAAGATTCGAGAACCCTCTCTTGGGATCTGAATTGGGACCCCTTTCTGGTAACAACTTCTGGAAAGGAATGAGGAAAGATAGATCAAACGGGATTTAGAAAGAAATTCTAAAACTCTGCACTACTGCTTCTAAAGACATGTGAAGGGACTGAGATTGTCATCCTACTTGAAAAAAAAAGTCAAGTACACATATGCAGCAATGGTGATGGTGAAGTCACAGGTAGGTGAGGAATCACTAGTGTGAAGTGGGAGGCAGGAAGCCCTGCCTGTGTGGGGAAAGAGAGCAAGATCAGATATAGAAGTGAGACAACAAGAGATCTTGAAAGTCATGGAGAAGAGCTTATTCCTGAAAAGTTGGCAACTAGGAACCCTTATCCTGACCCAACATATGCTGTAAGCCAAGGTAAATTACTATATTGAGGACACTGGGTAATAAATTCATACAAAATAAATATTATTTAAGAAATGTTAACAATACAGATTTTCTTTTTCATTATTATAGTTTCTGTCAGACCTTAGAAAGTAAGCTCCTTAATTCCTGGCAATTAATTTCTCTAAAATTTTTAATCTCATATCTTCATAATTAATAAAAGATACCAAGTAATTCAAGAGAAAAATATATGTGTTATATATATTATATTAAAATTGTTTTGTGCTTTTTATATATACACTATATATACACTATATATATATATATATATACAGACACATGCACATTCTGCTTTGCCAGTCTATCAAACAGGTACCATATTTATCCCACTTCTTACCATCCACCAAATATTCCTTCCTCATTTACTAACTATGTAAGTGTTAGCTTTCTAATAACCACTGAAAAGATGGCAATACAATATAGATGAGAGTCTCTGTCCCTGGTGTGTTTTTGTTTCAGCTGGGAAGCAAGACCCCTTCATTAAAATACACCTGACAATGCCAGTCTGTGAGTGACAAAAGACAGAGCCACCATCCGTGCAGTGGTTCAGAGCAGAGCTACAGACCCAAATCTGGACACCTCCACACATTAGGGATGTGGCCTTGGATAAGTAACTCAACTGCTGTGTGCCTCTATTGTTTCTTCCTTTTCTCATCTTTTCTAGTATAGGTTTCTTCTGAGGTTTAAATGAACTGACATATGTAACGTGCTTACTACACCACCTGGCAAACAGTAAGCCCTCTGTATTAGATATTATTCTTATAGGAATCAGGAGGAGAGATAGATTACCACATGCTGACCAGAACAGGTCAGCTTCTGTTACTTTTCTCTTTAAAAGTCTTCCTTTTTTCTATAAATTGCTTTTGAAACCCTGAGCTCCAAATATACCAGATGCCTCTTCATATACACACTGCACGCAGGCACACACGCAGGCACGATCTACCACATTTCACAGGCTATGTACTTTGGATGCCAGCTCAACCACATCTGCCGACTTCTGCTAACTCCTCCTCCTTTGTGAAGCCTTCCCAATTATTCCAGGTGGAATTATTTAATTCCCCTGTATTTCTAAAGGTCTTTCTTATTCTATGTCGCTTCTCAGCTATGTGACTCTTGGTAAAACACTTACTTAACCCTATCTGTATTTCCGTATCCTTATTAGTAAAATGAAAAAACACCTAATCCTATTAGGCTTTTGTGAGCACTGATATATGAAAAATGCTCATGAAAGTGCCTGGTATATAGTGGAGCTCAGTAAATGTAGCATTGTTTTTAGTAGTGTTAAAACATGTACATGCTATGTTATAATTATGTTTTTTTTCTTTTCTTCTCACTAGAGCGTATATTATTGGCATGCATGGAAGGGAACACATCTAGTTCTTCTCCTCTTTGTATCTTCAGCACCAGAGATAATGCCTAGAACATGCAAGGACCAAATAAATATAAGATAGTTAATTCATTTTATACCACCAGCACTGTGTATAATACAGAATAAGTCGTCAAATATGCTTTCAGAAAAGAACTTGAATGAGAACTTTTGCCAATCTATGATTTGAGCATGTCCATTCACGTTCATTCTCCACAATCATTTTGAGTATTTCATGAGAAAAAGAAAAGTTTGTTTCAGTTGATCTAGGAAGTAGCAAAATTATCATCACAATACATCATAAAGAGTCAAAAATACAGGTTATTTTCCAAAGGGACAACCTTAGTATAATAATAAAAGAACGTACAACTAGTGAGATCATGGGAAAATTGTAGAAGTGTGTGTGTGTGTTACAAAAGAAGAAGTGAGGAAATAAATAAATAAATAGGAAAATAGGAGATGGGTAGTAAAAATAGCAACTAAATGATAATAATTGGAAGATATGTATTCATTAACACATTAAAAGTAATAGTTTCAATGCTCAATGAAAGATAAATGTTGCCAGAATGGATTAATAAAACAAACCATATTAAACGTTGTTTACAAAAGATACAGCTTATATGTAAATATATACAAGCTAAAAATAAAAGAATCGAAGTAGGCATAAACAAAAAGAAAGCTGATTTATCTAGATTCATATCTGTCACAATAGACGTTAAGGTAAGAAGCACTGTCAGAGATTTATGAAAAGGCTATTTTATAGTAATAAAATAATTCACTCACCAAGAAAATATTGGAATTCTAAATATTATATACTTAGCTTCAAATGTAAACACAAAACTTACAAAACTAAGAGATGGAGTAGAAAAATCCACAATCGTAGTGGAGAATTCTAACCCACTTATTTTAGAAGCTTATAGAACAAGCAGACAAAACACCAGTAAATTCTAAATGATCTGAACAACTTGAATTCCAAATGAAACCTAATCAATATACATAATTTGCAAGAAAGAGAGAGAAAACATTGCACCCACTACAAGAAAATATATAGTCTACTTAGTACAATTAAACATTTGCCAAAATTAGTGTTGTCCTGGGACACAACATAGTTTCAACAAATATCAAAGGATTGAATCAGTCAGAATATGTTCTCTCACACTATGTAATTAAGCTAGAAATCAATAATGAAATGGTAAGTAGAAGCCTCCAAATGTTGGAAATTAAGCAATACAGTTCAAAACAATGTCTAGATCAAAGAAGGAATCAAAATGAAAATTAGAAAATATTTAAAACTAACTCAAATAGCAGAACACATCAAAACTCTGAGCTGGGAAAAACTGCATTTGAGCCTGCATTTGACCTACACATTGAAGACCATCCGTTTCTGTGCATTGTCCAGGAGGTGTGGGGACAAAGCAACTGTGGTGTGAAAAGACTTCTTAGAGGAAGAGGGCTTGGAATAGAGGGATGCAACTAAATGTTTGCCTAAAAGGAACCTTATGGTTATAAATACATCTATTAGAAAAGCAGAAAAGAGAGGCATCAGTGCTCTAACAGTCCATCTTATAATAGTGAATAATGTTCAAAGAAAGTAGAAAGAAGGAAATAACAAATATGGGAAAAGAAATTAATGAAATGGTAAAATACTGTATAACAGTAAATTAACACACCCAAAGGCCAGTATCAGAAACAAAAACAGGGATAGGATGTTACTACTTCTCCTTCAAATTAAAGAATACATACATACATGGAAAAACTTTTAACACGTTCATGGTTTGGAAGACTTGATATTGTTAAGATGTGAATACTCCTCAGTTTTAGCCATAGATTTTGTGCCATTCCAATCAAAGTCTCTGCAGGAGTCTGTATGTCAGTGTGTGGAAATTTGCAGGCTAATTCTAAAATTTATGTAAATATGTAAAGGATCTAGAAGAGCCAAACAATAGTGAAAAAGAACCATGATAGATCTACAACTCAGTAATAAAAAAGACAAATAAAAATGGGCAAAAGACATAAACTTATATACAAAATACAATGTATAGATGGCCAAGAAATATATTTAAAAGATGTTCAATGTCATTTGTCCTTAAGGAAATGTAAAATAACATACCAATAGATGTCAAATAAATATATTATACTAAGTTAAATCAATAGGTGAATAAACAAATTATTCTATACTCAGATAATGGAATACTACTCAATAATAAAAAATACAAACAATGTATACACTACATAAATGAATATCAAAAATATTAGGTTATATTAAAGAAACCTCTGAACAAGCAAAACTATGAACTCAGAAGGATATCTGCCTGTAGGAAGGAGTGAGGTATTACTGAGAAAAAAAAGTGTAAGGAAAGGTATTGGAATGATGGGTTATTTTTTCTTTTAAATGGGATAATGGGTACACAGACATATACATTTATTCCAAGTCATTGAGATGCAGACTTAAAATCTGGCCTACTATACTGTGTATATTACACCTTTAAAAAGATAATGTGAGTATAAAGAAATCAAAGTATTTTACCCCAAAATATATTTCTTTGACATATTTTGAGATGCCTGTTAGGAGAGCCAGAAAACAGAAGTAGGCTGGCAAAACTGTCTTTCGAGGGGGAGATTTGCACCTGCAGAGAATATGCACTGATACAGCCAGGCTTTCCCTTGTCCCCACCTAGAAAAGATTAACTCAGAGTCTATCTTTAAAGGTTTTTTTTTTTTTTAATGTTTACCATCCATTCTTGCTGAGGGCTGCTATCTGTGAAGTTTCATTTATATAAGGAGACCACCTTTGCTAGACAGGCTTCTTCTTCTCTTCCTCCCATAATCAATCTTGTCGCCATAACCTGATTTACCATCATAACCTGTTTTGGGCCATGCTCTGAGCCCCCATTATTTCTGTAACCTCAGGATGTATGTAAGCTTCTGCACTCCAGTGTGGGCTTGAGTAGTTGAGTAATCACTGTGATTCTCCTGTGTATACATTAATAAATGTGTATGGCTTTTCTCCAATTAATCTGTTTTTTGTGAGTTGAGTTTTCAACAAACCTTCAGAGGGCAAGGGGGAAGTTTTCCCCTCGGTCCTTACAAGTATTTGATAGACAACTTTTGCTTATAAATGCCAAACTTCAGATAGCAAACTTTTGGAAAAACAGCTCATCACAGCTAATTCAAGAAGAAAAGGACTATATGAATAGTCTTACATACATTAAAGAGATAGAATCTATAATTTAAAACTCTTCCACAAAGTATTCGCCAGATCCTTGTGACTTCATACTTCAAGTTCTCTGAATATTTAAGGCAGAAACCTCAACAATATGGTGCAAACTCTTACTGAAAAGGTAAATAGAATTAAAAATTTCTAATCTAATGTTAGAGAATCATCATAATCTTGATCACAAAACTTGACATTGCTAGAAAGAAATATTGAATATATGAATTCAAATATCTTTTCTTAATCCACGGATTGCATGTTTTAATGAACAGATGTTCTTGATTTTATAGTAGTCAAATATTTTATGGGTCACTGCTTTTTGTGTCTTATTTAAAGAATTTGCTTTGGAAATAGTGACACTTGAATTTTTTCTATTTGTTTTGATTTATAGAAAGAATTGATTTTATATAGTAATTACAAAAAGTGAGCTTGTCAAATTCAACTCGTAATTTTAATCGTGTGATTAGATTATTTTAGATTTCCATATGTGCTCTTTTATATTGCAGATTAATGGTTATTTTTATTAATTTTTCTTCCAAATATTATATCTTTCAGGTTTTCATGCCCCATTGCACTGGGTAATACCTCCAGCACAATATTGAATAAAAATGGAGATACTGGCCTCCTTGTTTTATTCCCAATCTTAGAAAAAAGCATTTCGTTTTTTTACTCCAGGCTTTTTTGTAGACTCTGCTCCATCACACCAAATTTTTTTTTCCTTTATTCTCAGTTGCTAAGAGTTTTTTTTATTATTAATTATGAATACATGTTAAATTTTAACAAGAGCTTTTCAGAATCTATTGAGATAATCATGAGTTTCCCCATTTCCTGATAATGGGATGAAGCTTGGAGACTTTCAAATATTGAAACAACCTTGCATGCCTGGAATACAGACAACTTTGTCATCATACATTAACTTTTTATACATTACTAGATTATCTTCCTTAGCTTTCTGTGATTTATTTTCATCTATATGGATCACATAGATTGGCTTATCCTTTCTTGAAAAAATCTGGTGTCTGGATCAAAATATAGAGATGAGACCATTGACCATGAGGACCTCACAATATATAATTGTGCCCTGCTTCGCCTGTGAATCTACCCCAAAGCCCACCTGGATATTCAGTGTTCTCTCTGTTGGTTTCTGTGTGCCCTATTATTCTTACTACTGGAAGAAAAGACTTTTTTTCTTGGTTGTGGAGGAAAAAGACAATATATTCCAACTACATTTTCGATTTATTTGAGGTAGGATAGTGTTTATTATTAAAATTAGGCTTTTTTCAGCAAACTTTGATTCAACATGTTTATATCTATGAAGTTATTTAACATCTTATCCCAAAATATTTTTATAGCTGTTTAATAAAAAAGGTCTTACTGCACTGACTGTGACTCCAGACTTCACAACAATCTCTATGTAATCCTGGAATTACTTTAATTATGAGCTCTTTCAGACATGATGGATTGCATATTCTGGAGGAATGGCAGATGGTATTGAAAAATCATCCTTCTTTTATACTCACTATATTTCTAAGACCTGGTTCAATACAGCTAAGTCTCTTAATACAGCTCTTGCTCTCTCTGTCATCTATATATGTATATTATATATACATACATGTATAAACTTTTATTGAAAAAGAAGATACATGAAGAGCTCACCAATCACAAATGTACAGATCATAGAATTTCAAGAAGTGAACTCACTCATGAACCACCACCCACATCAAAAAGTACAATATTGGGCCCGGCCTGGTTGCTCATGCCTGTAATTCCAGCTCTTTGGGAGGCTGAGGCAGATGGATCACCTGAGGTCGGAAATTCGAGATCAGCCTGGCTAACATGGTGAAACCCCATCTCTACTAAAAATACAAAATTAGCTTGGTGTGGTGGTGCACGCCTGTAATACAGCTACTTGGGAGGCTGAGGCAGAAGAATCACTTGAACCCAGGAGGCAGAGGTTGCAGTGAGCCAGGATTGTGCCACTGCACTCCAGCCTGGGCAACAGAGTGAGACTCCATCTCAAAAAAAAATAAAATATATATATATACACACACACACACACACACACACACACACACACACATATATACATGTGTGTATATATATATATACGTATATATATATATATATAAATAATATTGTCAGCAACCTAGAAGCCAACCATGTGCTTCCTTCCAGTCACTGCCCTCTCCGAAGCTCCTCATTATCTTAAATTATATCACCCTCAGTTGATTTTGCCCATTTTGACATCTACAGAAATGAAAGCCTTCCTACTGTCAACATCATATATTTGAAATTCATCTATGTTGCATAACATGGTTGTTTATTCTCATGGACTACTTATCAATTTTATGAACCTGCCACAATTTATCCATTCTACTGTTGAGGAAAATGTGGGTCATTTTCTGTATTTAACTATTAGGAATAGTGCCGCTATACTCTGACACATGTCTACTAGTGCCCAAATGTACACTTTTTTTTTAAATATCATTTTTATTTGACAATGCTTTCCATGTAATTTAACATATCAATAGCCTAATTAGTTTAATATTCCTTTTATTTTTATTTTTTATGAGAATGCCTTTTTATTTTTTTTTTATTTATTTTTTTTTGAGACCGAGTCTCGCTCTGCCGCCCAGGCTGGAGTGCAGTGGTGCCATCTTGGCTCACTGCAAGCTCCGCCTCCTGGGTTCACGCCATTCTCCTGCCTTAGCCTCCCGAGTAGCTGGGACTACAGGCGCCCACCACCATGCCCGGCTAATTTTGTTTTTGTATTTTTAGTAGAGACGGGGTTTCACTGTGTTAGCCAGGATTGTCTCCATCTCCTGACCTCGTGATCCGCCCTCCTCAGCCTCCCAAAGTGCTGGGATTACAGGCGTGAGCCACCGCGCCTGGCCTTATTTTTATTATTTTTGAGACAGGGTCTCACTATGTTGCTCAGGCTGGAGTGCAGTGGTATGATCATGGCTCACTGTAGCCTCAACCTCCTGGGCTCAAGTGATCGTCCAACCTCAGTCTCCTGAGTAGCTGTGATTACAGGCATTCACCGCCATACTTGGCTAATTTTTTATTTTTTTATTTTTTTATTTTTTTGTATTTATTTATGTTTTATTATACTTTCAGTTTTAGGGTACATGTGCACAAAGTGCAGGTTAGTTACATATGTATACATGTGCCATGTTGGTGTGCTGCACCCATTATCTCATCATTTAACATTAGGTATATCTCCTAATGCTATGCCTCCCCCTCCCCCCACCCCACAACAGGCCCAAATGTACACATTCCTGTTGGGTACATATCTAGGAACAGAATTGCTGGATTATAAGGTAAACTTATGTTAAGCTTTAATAAATGCTATCAAAAATTTTTCTATAGCAGTTTATACATTTATATTCCCACCAGCATTGAATGTTTTAGTTGCTTCATATCTTCTGCAGCCCTTGATATGTCTAAGTTTTTGAATCTATAGTCGTTGTGATTTATGCATAGTATCAAATAATTATGATGTTAATTTGCATTTATGTGATGAATAAGAAGGCTGTGCACCTTCTCACGTGTTTATTGGGCCATTTGGTCTGTGTGTGTGTGTGTGTGTGTGTGTGTGTGTGTAATGTCAGTTTAAGGCTTTTATCCGTATTACTACTGTGTTGGATGTGTTTATTTTATTGATTTGTAGAAACTGTTCATATATTGTAGGGTGGGATGTATGAGGGAAGTGTGGGGCACAATTATATTGTAAGAGCCCCGTGGTCAAATGTCTGACCTCCAGTGTTGGATCCAGACACCAGATTTTTTCAAGGGACATAGAGATGACTGAACTTAAGGACATGACTCAACTAAGTAAATTCATAATCCAGTGATGTAGAATACTGATTCTGTATCATTAATTAATGAGAACAAACACTGCTAAGCAAGTCAGAAGGCTCACATTGTCCTGTCAGTATATACTCTTACTCCCCAAATAATAACATGAGAAGTCAGGATATGCTCAGACTGCCAAGAGTAATGAGTGGCTTATTTTCGATGACAATAGCTTACGAGTGCCTAATGGGTCCATCTCCACTGGGGGCTACATACAGCTGGTTGGGGAACCAGAGACTCAATGCAGATGACTTTCCCTTGGAATAATAAGAGAGCAACACAGGTAATTCTGGGCTCTCGCATCAATTTACTGAACTTCATGCAGGTCGGTCCTTGTTGGTTCACACAACCTTCCCTAGACATAACAATATTGTCAGCCAAACCTGTTTACAAAGTGTGAATTGTATTGACTGAATGCCCCAAAACAGATCTCCAAGTTCTACGGATGTTCTAATTCATAATTAACTAACCATAGAACTCTATCAGAAAAGAGAAATACAATGCAGAGGAAAATAATCTATAATTAATAATTTTCATCAATATATGTGAAACCAGAAGTTTCTTAAGAATGATTATTAGATATATAGTTTAAAAGTAATGCAAAGGCACACATCCATAAAAGGATTCTCATAGCAGGAGATTACAATTTTATACTTGCTTAAAATGGGCTTTTGCCACAGCTTGAAGTCCCAAATCTGCCATGAGGAGTCCTACACCAAACTCCAACAGTTCTGGGAGACCTAACCTGACACAGTTTATAATGAGGCCACCTCCTTCCAAGCTTGGAATCAGTGGGTGCATTTTATCCTGTAAATTGATTTGAAGCCAATAGGTACAATGTGACCTGTGAAACAATGTGAAACCTAATTAAATATATAGGTAGAAATCACTTTTGTGAAAAATTTACAAGCCAGTAAAACCTGCAGAGTAACAGAAGACATATCTGCACTGTTCAAATCTCCCAGAAAAGTAGTCAGTAAATCACTAAATCATTCAGATTATGGCCTGCCTAATGCCAAGTATTTGAATAATTATGTAGTTCAGGGTAAATGATTGCTTGACATAACCCAATGGATGTTGTTTACATTCTAGATATAGTATCATGCAAATATCACTGGATACAGGGAACACTCTGAAATAAAAGAGCCCATTTTATTTTAAACTAAGGCAGGGTGTAGAGTTACACAGGGTGTTCACTGCGTATCCCCAGAGAGCACTATTTGCATAGACTATGAAGGGAGTATATGAATGGAGCTCCAGGAGTTGTGCAATGTGGCAGTCTTAAAATATTAATCCAAGGAGAAAGAAAGTTATTTCATAAAGACTGGCATATGGCTACATTATCACATTATAATGATAGAAAAAAGATTTTAAAGTACAATTTTATTTATTGCCCAACATCAATATAACTACTTCTGACCATCCCCTTGGAATATCATACAACACCAACCCCAATGGCACATGGGACAGTAAGTAGAAAAGGATATCACAGGGCCATTAACCTAGCTGAGGATTTCTTTGTTTTCAATTATATTTTCCTATATGCACGATTGTTTTGTATATTTATGAAACATCTTTGTTCCCTCTTCCATCCATATTTATGACCTGTATAGCTCTATTTGTATTATTTATATTTCTTCCCAAATGTTTTCAATGCCTTCCAATTTACCATCACAGAGATAGCATTATTGTGTTTTCAGTACTGCTTCCTGATCATTAACAAAGACATCACATTTTTAAAAATCCACCCTTGTTAAACACATCTTTGCAACTTCAAATTATATAAAGCTTAAAATATGAATAATTTGAAGACACTGCCACATATTATTATTCTTTGCTTACCATCTTTTAGCTCATTTTCAGTTCTTGAGGCTGAATTTTTCTGGTTTGATTTGAATCAATTTTGCCAGTAAAATCTCACTGATGTTATATCAATTACTGTAAGAGGAGAATATAGGATGAGCACTATACTTAATCCTCTCTTTTCATCTCCAAATTTAGTTATTCTAACAAGAATCCTATTTAGTTATGTGCGTGTGTGTGTGTGTGTGTGTGTGTGCACGCTCACGCATGTGTTGAGAGTGATGATGGGGGTGGGAAGTGCTTTTTAAAAATACACAATTCACAGAAATAAAATTACTATTCTGAGAGATAGCAGAATTAAAGTAAAAAAAGAAATGTGCTCTGGCTATGACCATCATCAGCACTGACAGATGAAAAAAATGTAGACATCAGAGCAGTATCTGCTTTAGACCTGGACAAGCAGGGCCCTTGTCTCAAGCAGAGCCTTGTGCTTTGGAGTGTCTTCCTTAAAGTTTTCTAAGTTTGATGTAATCCCACTCTGGTACTGGAAACAGAGACAGCAGTGCCTGCAAGTAGAGCCCTGGAGCCTGGACTCGTCCCCATGTGAACTGCCTCAGTCTCCCTTTATTTTTTAAAAACTATTTATTTATTTATTTATTTATTTATTTATTTGAGATGCAATCTCACTCTGTCGCCCAGGCTGGAGTGCAGTGGCGCAATCTCAGCACATTGCAACCTCTGCCTCCCAGGTTCAAGCAATTCTCCTGCCTCAGCCTCCCAAGTAGCTGGGATTACAGGCGCCTGCCACCAGACCCAGCTAATTTTTGTATTTTCAGTAGAGACAGGGTTTCACCATGTTGCTAAGCTGGTCTTGAACTCGAACTCCTGACCTCAAGTGATCCACCTACCTCGGCCTCCCAAAGTGCTGGGATTACAGGTGTGAGCCACCTTGCCCAGCTCCATTTCTCCCCTTCTGAGCATTCTGACATCCTCTCCCCATTACCTCTCCCTGTGTGGAGTCAATCAAATGCACAGCTGCAGTCAGGCATTGGAGACTAGAGGGCCATTCCAGGTCTCATGACTGGATCTCAATTCTAGGAAGGTGACTTGACGAACTAATAGTTCCCATTGTGGACTAGGTATTTCCTTCACAGGTTTGTAAGAGATTGGCTTACCAGAATAATGCAGACATGCTGATTTGGGAACCTCATTCAGGAAATATATTTTACAGATCTTAAAAGAATCTGGCCATAGAGTATCTGCACTTGGTCTGAAGTCACAACATGAAACCTGGACATTGGCTGATTCAATCAAATGGCTCCTATGAATTTTATTTCCTTCAATGATGTTTGGAAAATGCCCACACAAGTGCCATCTAAAAAGCAAGTTCTAGTGTAGATGTGGTTAATATCTATAATCAGTTGACTTTAGGCAGATTATCCTCAATAATATGGGGTGGGCCTCATCCAATCAGTTCTAAGAGTGTCAAAAGCAAAACTGAGGTTTACCTGAGGAAGAAGAAATTCCATCTCTGGACTGCAGTAGCAGCTCATGCCAGAGAGTTTCCAGAGTGCCATGGGCCCTACAGATTTTGGACTAGTCAGCCCACACAATCATGTAAGCCAGTTACTTGAAATTTATGTATCTATCTGCTATCTTACTGGCTCTGTTTCTCTGGTAGAACCCTAACGGATGCCGGGCAAGTAACTCACTCCGATATGTTCAGATACATTTTCTGACATTGAGTCTTTTGGGACCAATGTGGATGAGGTCTTGCCTTCCTCCAACCAATCACTGTGCCCAGAGGAGTTGGAATACACTGATTGATCAAGCAGGGTGACGCCAACCCTTAGAGTCTTGGATTGAGTCATCCCCATTGATACGTACACAGAGTCAGGAGAAACAACTCAGCAAAGAAAGTATAGAGTTTTTTAGAGGGAGAAATTGTGCTGGACAGGTATTCACACCAAATATCCAACAAAGATGACTTACATACTCACCTTGTCTCAAAATTGACATTGATACAGTCAGGTTTGTAAGCAGATTCAGGTGGAATAAAACTTCAAAATGTTTGGAGATCTTATCAACCTGGATGATATGTTCCAGGAGGAGATAAAATTTCCTCCTAGAACACAGTTCATTAGTATATTGAGTAACTTAAAGAAGACATACCAGAATCGTTAAATTTATACCTTGAATGTACTCTTTTAACAGGATGATGGACTCAGGATGATGACAGCTTCCTGTAGTGTTGCTGTCATTGCCTTCTCAGCATCTGGCTGTATTTCCTGTGTCCCTCATGGTCACATTGACCTCTGTTGTCTTACAACTGCACTATGTTTTCTCTTGGTCGTGAGCCTATTATGATTAGCAGTTGGTACGTTTGTATTTTATTGATGGGCTTTATTTTGTTAACAGTGGAGTTACACTCGACCCAAATGAAGAATTGGTCTAGGGTGAAGGAGAAGGACTCAGCATGGCCTGAGGATCCATCTGGACTTGACTTCGGCATTGACAGCGCTGCCCTAAAGGCAGTATGGTCCTAGAAATCAAGGGGTTTCCCATGCAATGTGTTCCAAGGGTCAAGGTTTATCAGAGAGAGAGAGGTCACTAGAACTGGAAAACCCCCAAAAGTCCAGAATAGGACCTTGTGCTGTGGGTCAGACTGGCTATGGCAACGGTGAGATAAAGGCATTCTGGGCAAGGTCAGAATGATTGAAGACACCACTGAGAACAGTCTTCTCTCATGTGAAACTGTGAAGTGCTCAGCCTGGCTAGGAAAGGGGCTATATTCTAAAACAGAGAGACAAGTACCAAAAGCAATGCTGTATCCAAACCATGACGAGCTTTAGCTGTCCCTCATAATAATACAAGCTGGATAAGTGGGGAAACTTTAAGAAGGAACATGATGAAATGAATGTTTTAGGAAGAATTGTTTGGTGTCTCTCTTATAGAGACAGCCTGGAACCAGGAAAAACTACAGAACCTGCTAACAAATGCAGCTTGAATCAAAACAAATAGTTATTACCATTCATTTGGGATTTGTGACTCAATTCTCAAAGAATCCTTTCAAACATGTGGGATAATAATGAAAATATAATGGGAAAATTGAAGTACTCTATGAAGGCATCAGAAACCTGCACGGATAGTTCAGCAGAGCAATGTTAGTGCAGTTATAATGTATTGATTCTTCTTTCAAACACAATGAAGTTTTGAAATCAACCACATATGGATTCAGACAGTTGAAAATGATATATTTCTTCAGTATTTAACATATGTCCAAACTGTGTCTAGAAATGATATTAAAATGGATGAGTAAATTGCTCTACTTTAACTTTAGGCTAAATTAACTCTTTGTGGTTTCAATTGTGTCTTTAATTTGTATTGTGCTTTATGGTTTTTGATGCATTTCACGCTGTTCATCTCTTTGGATCTTTATATCACCCCATTTTTCAGATAAGAAAAGTGAAGTTCAGAGGCAGCAAATCATTTGCCTCACATACCAATTGCTCTTTAGTAGCAGAGCCAAACCTGGGGCATAATTCTCCATTCAACACAAGCTATTGGTCTAAGGAGTAACTGTGAGTTTAGAGTGAGGTAAATTGAAATAAAACCAAACTGTTCAAGGGAGATTGAGGATGAGTGTCCAAGTTAAAGGGGAAAAAAATAACAGATCTAGGTTCGGAAATTGGCAGAAATGACTATTCAGACTTTGCTTCACTCCCATTCCCAAATTCAATGTACTTTCTAACCAGTAAGCTGCCTTACTGATTGAATAGCTACAGATTCCCTGGAAGGAGTCCAAGAGTGGAAGCAACTCTCCTTTGTTTTAGTCATGCAGCACCAAGACATGTTCAGATTTCCTGGATGGATGCTATCTACCTGGAGTGAGGAACTTGCTACAGTCAGAGAAGCCCAGTGCAGCAGACTAGATGGCTCTCATCCCCTTCAGCTGGAGAAGTGTGACATCAACCTGCACAGTACCAGATAATTAAGGGTTCCACTATGTTTGTAGGGGTTAGGCTCTGCATAATGTATCCAGCTGATAGCTGAATAGGCTTACAGCCAATCTACCTTTTTCTCCCCAAGCCAGGCGTGCTCATGTGAGGGCTGTATAAACTCTTTTTCTAATGTGCACAAAGATGCTATGTGGGCTTTTATGGTGGTCCTGATATAAGGACGTTTCTATAAAAGGCCTAGCCACAGTCAGCCACAGTATTGGACTCTGATATACTCTGTTATGTGTATGTGCATATTTATGTTCTTTAAGCAAAAAAGAATATTAATCAGGTGAGTAAATCTGTGACTAAAATCTATCAAAAAACATCCTTTTTTAAAACAAAAAGGTGACTTATTTTATGGACAAGTCTAAAAGTGTATACAGTAAAATCACTTGGATTCACAGAGACCCAGTGGAAAGACCAAAAAAAGAGAATGAAGTAATTCAGTGTCCCTACCAACTTTCTTCCCACACTGGCTAAGACTATGACCCTTGATAGGATGGAGAACCTAAAGAAATTCTAGGTGGTTCTTCCACCTGTCCTTCTGAAGCTGCCTACTCCATTCTGTGTCCCCAACTCAATCTCTCTCTCTTCCTGGTCCCTTTGTACTATGTAATTCTCAACTGTGGCATCATTCCTGGATACTGCCTAATGGATTGCACTTGGACTAATGTTTCTGTCCTAAAAAGCACATTCATTATTTTCCTGCATTCAACCTCTGTTCCCAGGGCCCCCACGAAAGGCAGAACCTTGGCTCTGAGTTTGGAAGCATACACCGAGTATTGTCCCACCAGAGGCAACTAGACTTGGCCCAGATTAAATGTCTAAAGGCATGCTTTGGGCTACACATATTTCATACTTGGGAAAATGGAGGTCTGCTGCTATGGTTTCAACGTGTCCTCTCTAAAACTCAGCTACTGAAACTTAATGACCAATGTGATAGTATTAAGAGGTGGAGCATTTAAAAGGCAATTAGTTTGTGAGGGCTCCCTCATAAAGAAGATTAAGTCTCCTTACAAAAGAGGTTTCATGCAGCATTTGGCTCCCCACTGCTCTTCCACCCTGTGAGGACATAGGGTTCCTCCCCTTCAGAGGAGGCAGCAACAAGGTACCATCTTGGAATCCAAGAGCAGCCCTCACGTGACAATCAAACCTGCTGGCACCTTGAGCTTGGACATCTCAGACTCTAGAAGTGTGATAAAATAAACTTCAGTATATATATATATATATATATATATATATATATATATATATATATATATACACACACACACACACACACACACACACACATTACTTAGTCTTAGGTATTTTGTCATAGCGGCACAAATGAACTAAGACAGCTGCCATCATAGTACTAAGAGGAGTAATATAGAAGGACTGGCACAGCAGAATATTTCTGAGAAAAAGCTCCCAGTTGAAATAAAGCCCTCCCCTCATCACCTTACCTGTGTAATTTGGCCATCTGTGTGTGTGAGCTGTGAATGGTAATTATCTCTACGACTGTGCATGGTTAGTGGGAGTCAATAAACATCCACTTCAGTGCACCTTGTCAGTTGCAATTTGCATCAACCCTCCTTCCTCATCACAGGATGATCTAAGCTGAGAGGTAGGGAGAGGCTCAAGAATATCCAAGTTTAATTAGCTGATATTTGATTGGAAGATGCTGTGAGCCAAGGGCAAGAGACTCCTGAATGGGAGTCAAGAAATCAATTGAGGGGAATCAACAAGACATGTAACTACATGAAAGACGGACTTCAGGAAAGAGATTTGTGATGATCTGACTTCATTCTAGGGGAAGGTGGTCAGGCTTGAAGTTAAAAATCAAAGGCCAGAAAATAGACCTACCTATTCACTTGGTGCCTTGCCTTGCTAGACAGGTGAGCTCATGTGGTAATAATTATAAAGTGACACTTGTAATTATTTCCCAGGCAATATTTTAAATTTTTTACATACTTTAACTAATTTAACTTTCAAAAGGAAGGTCTCAGTCTTATCATCTCCATTTTGCAGATTAGTAAATTGAGGCACAAACTGGTTAAGTAAATTTGCCACAGATCACCTTGCAAATAAGTAGCCAAGTTGGTATTTGGCTTCAAGATGTATGGTCTTAACTATTATATTATACTCTACTCCCAAATTAGGAAGACATTCCTTTCTTCTCTGAAAATCATGAGTTATATATCAAAGACAGCGAAAGTTAACAAAATGAGAGTTCCACACATCTGCCACAGAAAATGAAAGTAGAAGTCAGACTTGACTATGAGGAATAACTTGAGGAATACTTGTCACCCACCCTACCTTAAAATTTATTCTACCTACCCAGTCCTTCTGCCTGGAATAACACCACTGATTCCTTGCATAGGTTAAACCTTCTAATCCCTGTGTTTTTCTTTTACATTTTCATTGACCCCCAGCATGGATCATAACTTTCATCCATTCTAATAGAATCTCCTTATTCAGAGAAAGATTTGGCATCAAAAGAAAGGAGCTTCTGAACTGGGTGGCAGGATAAAAGAGGTGCACAGAAAAAGAAGAAAAAGGGAGGATCCTAATTACAAAGTCTATAAAGAAAAGAAGGTGGAAGTTATTTTTTCTTTTTAATTAGAGTCATGATACTCTGAATTCAGAAAGATATTGACTTGCATCCTGAAAGCAGAGTAAATCTCAGATGGAGAAATAGTAATGTCCATGTTCCAAAGGCCAATAAGAAAGTGCATCTCTGTGTGTGTTTCTTTGTATGTAGTGGATTTCCATAATTCACTTTTTTTTCACTTTAAATACTGTGGGTGTAGACAACTTAGGGAATGATGACAGATGCATACTATTATTCTCTAAACTCTATAGGTCAGGAAACTGAAGTTCAGAGAAGTTAAGTAACTTGCTCAAATTTACTCAGCTAGGGAGTGTCAGAGTCAGAATATATACTTAGGTAGCACAACTTCACACTTCACTCTTTTAACATCTATACTGTACTGTCTTTAATATGAAGCCAGTGGGTAAATTCTGGCCAAATGAAGGCCGCAAACAGTGATTGGGATCATAACACTGGGTTTGGCTCAGGGTAACCGCAACACAACTAAAACAAAGCAACCCTTTCAATTCAACAAACATTGGCTGTATGCCTCCTGCGTTTCAGCTATTTGTTGAATACTCTGGGAAACCAAAGTAAGGCTTAGTCCTCAATGTAGGAGATACTTGGCATCTCAGAATATGAGAAAAAACACAAGAGCATTTTTGTACAAAACAACGTGTCCTACGCCCAGTTAGAGAGAAGCACATTACTTCCAGAGGATCTAGACCATTCTCCACTTTGGAAGCCAGGTAGAGTTAAGGAGGGGGAGCATTTACTGGTGAAGATGACTGGGTAAAAAGTCAAACAAAGGCTCACAGCAGAGCCTGTGGCTTTGTGTCTACAGTGCACAGTGTTCTGGCTGGAATATTGAGACAAGAAGAGAGATAGGAGATACAACTACAGAGTATATTTGGTTTTGCATGCCTGCCTAAGGAAACTCTAGCTTTAGAAATGCCATCTTTTGAATAAATAGTTGATGGTACACCTAAAAATATATTAAAACAGAGAAATTGTGATAAGTGAATGATGCAGACACATTTCACAAAGCATCAGGAGAAACAAAGACAAGAAAGTCATGAATATAAATCTATTGATGGTATATTTAAAGGGGGATATGTCTGTGCTATTTTATCTTTAAAAAGTAATCACAGCCTAGGCAACATGGCAAAACCTTGCCTCTACCAAAAAAACAGAAAACAAAAAATTTTAGCCAGGCACAGTTGTGTGTGGCTGCAGTCCCAGCTACTCAGGAGGCTGAGGCAGGAGAATCACTTGAGCCCAACAGGTAGAGACTGCAGTGAGCTGTGATCAAACCACTGCACTGCAGCCTGGGTGAAAGTGAGACTCAGTCTCAAAAAAAAAAAGTAATCAATTAGGTGGATGCATAAAAATTCAGTGCATATGAATATACACAGTGAGTGAGGCAAAGTTGGGCAGTAATAACGAAGAAATGAGCAAGATTCAGAGGCCAGTCCAAGCTGGGTATGTGGAGAAGTCATTAGGTCAGAATTCAGACTAGTGGAGACACTAAAATTGCATAATTTTATTCAGAGCAAAAACTCTGATCCCAAAGTGCATGTCTCCTACCATGGCTATTAGAAGAATCCCTGAAGAATCACTCATGCAAAAAATACCTCATTGCCATTGTAATCTGGCTCATAAGTTTGCACAGTCAGATAAGTAGATGCACGCTCCATTGCATCTTGTGAATATCACAGCTTTTGTTCAAGTATCACATTCAAATCCTAAGACTATGTCATTTACCCTTCCATATTTTTTTACTCAATTTAAAAACATAACATAAAAGATATGCATAATGGCAAAGCAACCACTCCCAAAGATTGAAATTTAGTTTAAAAAAGGAAATTGGGAGGTACCCAATGTGTTCAGTTCATATCTACCACATGAACTGCAGAATACATAATAATTTTGAATCAAATATTCACCAATAGATATTTTTGTAGATCATTCTTTTTCTCCTTACCAAGAAGAGGTAAAATAAATATATTCACAATCCCTTGTTAAATGATTTGGGCAAAATATGCAAAGCAGAAAAGATATACTCTCCCCACCCCTCAAAGTCCTTATATCTTTATTAGAATGATAGGTTTTATACTATGGACCTGTAAATAGTAGCCCTGTATAGACAGACGGACAGATGGATAGATAGATAGATAGATAGATAGATAGATAGATAGATAGATAGATAGATAGGCAGGCAGACAGACAGACAGACACACAGAGAGAGAGAGAGATAGGCAGGCAGGCAGGCAGACAGATAGATAGGCAGGCAGGCAGACAGACAGACAAATAGATAGAGAGAGAGAGAGATAGGCAGGCAGGCAGACAGACAGACAGATACACAGATAGATAGATTTGGAACCGCCACAGCTTCACGGAACCATATATTCACATGGCAAATAGATATTTCTAAAATGTTCTAAAAACAGTTTCATTCAAAGAAGAGCTTTCCCTGTAAGTACGTATTTGAATGTCTAGTATGTCCTAGATTCTGGAGAAACAGAGAGGACTAAGAATGGTTTCTGCCCTTGAACAGCCCATCAATTGAAAAGATCACACACAAGCAAACAATTTGAGTATCACATAAAACTGCATAGAGCAGGGGAACAAACCTTGTGCTGTAGTAACACAAAAGATGGCTGACTACCTCTTTCTTTTACTACATATGAGTTTATTACCCAACAAATTCCATCTACGAAAACAATGCCAGGACACTTCTATCTAGCTTCTGCTACTATAATCATGAAATCCATATTAGAGGAGCAACCCTGCTGACTATATTTGAATGAGCAATGTAACAGTACTTTTCTTATTAATTTTAGCCTAATATATATTAGAGGGCAAGACTCAATGCACTTTTCAGAATCAAAGCCCAGACTTTTAAGATTTAGATCCCTCTGGTAATGTGAATCAGGGTGAGGAATAGGGAGAGGAAAGCCAGGCATTTCTGGAATGATCCTGATTAGTGTCTCCTTAAAATCTGTGTCCTAGGTACCTGGTATGTCTTACCTAGGCTCAGATCTGGAGTGAATAGTTTAAAGGGAGACCAGAATAGAAGAAAATGTTGTGAAAAGAAGCTTATAGCAGCCAGAGAAATGGACCGAGACCATCTAATTCAGAAAGGCCTTTCTCCATGCACCATTGCCCCCTTTAGAATAGCCTGACCATAAGCCTCAGTGACCTCAGTGATTTCCTGTTGCAGACAGCAGGCTTAGATACGTATTGGGTCCCATTCCTCTTTTGACTTAGCCTGGTCAAAATCACCATTGACCAGTCCCTGACTCAGCTATAATCAATGAAGGACACCTCAAAGTGATTAGATTACAGCTGCTCTTGAGTGAATCTATATGTACCCAGTTTTGTTTTAATCAGCTATGGTAATACACACAGACACTTAAATGAAGGAAGAAATTTTGATACTCACAGATGCTGAGAGCAGAAGGCCTGTCATGCCGCACAGGGCCACACAGGAAAGCACAGGTTGGTCAAGAGGCAGAGGTAGCCAGGGAAGAAAAGCCTTCATTGGGATTTCCCTGGGAAAGAATGGGCAAGAGAGGATATGCAGGCTGAGCAGGTCCAGGATTGGCTAGTTTGAATAATTTCGGCAGGCTCTAGTAGGGTGCTGGGCTGTCCCTAATTATCTGCTATCTGGCTCTGGGGTGATTAGGGCAGGGAGATAGTGGTTCCCCTAGTGGGAGCCTGATAAAGGAGGTAGTCAGGGCCTGAGCTCTAGATTGGTTGGTTTGCATATGAAAGGCACAATTCCTGGGGGCCCAGTCATTTGCTGTCTCTAGGGATTAGTTACCTAGCAGGGGCAGTGCCTTCCAGTGTCAGCAAGGCCCCAAGATGTCAAAGCCTCTGAATAAAAAGACATGCTTAATACATACCCACATTTTAATAGTTACTGTTTACTAAGTGGCCAGAATTCCTGAGCTCTGAAAGAGAAATGAGCTTTCTTCTCTCTCTCTGAAATGATGTAGCGGTCTTAATGCAACAAAGTTGGGAAAAAAACTTACAATATCACCACATGGGCTGTAATCAGAGGGGCCTTGGCTTCCCAGAGTTTTCAATCCAGCATTATTCACAACCCTAACACTCTTTTTAAAAATGCATAGAAAGAAAGCTCTTACTGTATTCTAGGTACACATTTTTAACATTTACACTAACTCAACACCCTAGGGTTTTAATCACCAAAAAGCTTATATAAAAGGTGCAGAAACCATGGGCTTCTTTCCATGTTGTGTTTTGTGACAGGAATGGAAAACCAAAATGTACAAGTAAAAGCTACAAAAACAAAACTCAGATTTCCCTGGAGCCATTAGAAGCAAAGTTGCTGACACGAACACTCAACTTCTAGATGGAATTAAATGTGTCAGAAGTCCCTTCACAAACAGCATAGGTGGCCACATCATTGTTCCCACTATGTGAGATACAAGGTGAGATTTTTCAGTGCTAGGAAAGCTGCCACCTGAGGAGAAAAGGGAAGAAAAGAGCAACTTACAATTATTAAGGTGCTATAGGATCCAACTATCCAAAAAGGCCTAAAAGGACTAAATTTTGTTCAGCTAATGTTAACAATGTTGAAAGTGTGAGAAATGGAAATAATCTCAGTTTCAAGCTATTTGAGAGGTGTAAACATCAAAGGGGCATAATTAGAAGCAATTGTTTAGAGGGAAAAAAATGATAACAGAATCATGGCTGATAGGAATTAGTTTCAGGTCTGCTGTAGATTCAGTCTCCCAGAACAGTGAACAATCTATTATTGTTTCTCAGGAACTCGCCTTAATAATGTTGAAAGCTTGAGCATTCTTGTTTAAAAATATTGCCAGAGAAACTGCCTATTCTAGGGTGTCATGGAACTCTATCCACCAAAAAAAAAAAAAAAAAAAAAAAAAAAAGGTATGTTGAAGTTCTACCCCATAAAACCACCTCAAAATGTGACATTTGGAAATAAGTTCCTTGCAGATGTAATTAGTTAAGATGAGGTCATACTGGAGTAGGATGGGTTTCTAATCTAATATGCTAGCTGCATGTATAAGAAGGTAGTATGTGAAGACATAGAGACATACATGGAAGGCCTCATAAGACGCTGAAAGCGTACTAGGATTTCGTAGCTGCAAGCCAAGGAATTGCAGACAAATCACCAGAATCTAGGAAGAGGCAAGGAAGAATCCTCCTTTAGAGGACTCAGAGGGAGCATGGCTCTACCTACACCTTGATTTCAGAATTCTTGGCTCCAAAACGGTGAAACAATAAATGTCCATTGTTTTAACCACCTAGTTTGTGCTTCCTTGTTATAGCAGCCCTGGGAAACTAATACACAAGCTCTAACTACTGGCCAGAAATCTTTTAGGCTATCCTAAGTCCCTAAGTTTACACGCTGAATCCAGTTCTCTTTTGCTAGCTTTTGGGGAGGAAATCTAATTTCCAGCTCTAACTTTCTTACATATTTTGCTATAGGATCATGAATGAATCCCTAAAGAGCAGAGAGTTAGTCAATGAAGTAGTACTAAAAACTTGTTATTTGACTGAGAAAGTGAGATTTGGGCCCTTCCGGGAATATTTAGGACCCATAAGATAGTGATCTTCCTTGAAGCAAGCTGTAAATGCCCTTTGAAGAAATAAAGATGGGTCACACTGACAAATAATGGTAAAGACATGACTTCTGGAGTGTTCTAGAGTTTGTGAACAGGAATGCAGGGCCACCATCTCATGCCATTTTCATACCAGAAGTAAGATAATTTAAGAGAAATTTCAAACTACTCAGGGGTGTGTCCCAGAGCCAGAATTATATCAGTAGGAGCTTGTCAAGAGCAGGCACCATTCTGAGCATGGTTCTATGGGAGGGATTGTATAATAAAGATAATCACAGTAATCATTCCAGGGCAATGGAAACACCTGTGGGATTTAGGGTCATTAATGAAATGACTAGCAAGAATAAGAGCTTTCTCTAGGAAACAGATCCAGGATGGGAACCCAGCCGAGCCCCAGCAATTCTGCATTTTCCTTCATGATGCTTGTGTCGTGAACTGATGTTGACCCCTCTGTGGTGTCACTGTGTACATTTGCTCAGGTCATTCTTCTGTCCTGGAATATATTATTCCTTCTACCTTTACAAGTCCTATTCATCCTTCGAAAACTACTGTATGATTCAGCAATTCCTCTCATACAAATGAAAATATATGTCTAAAAACAACTTGTACAAGAATGTTTATAGCAGCTTGTTTCACAATAGCCAAAACCTGGAAACAATCCATATGTATATTAACTGGTATATTCATACCAGGGCTGCTGCTCAGCAATAAGAAGAGACAAACAACTGATGCATGCAACAATGTGAGTTAATATTTTTTTTTAAAAAAATGCAATGAATGAAGGAAGCCCTATATGATTTCATTTATTTGACGTTCTAGAATAAGCAAAACTAATATAAGTTTAAAGAAACCAGAATAGCGGTAGCCTCCGGCAGGGAGGGGATGAGAATTGATTTGGAAGGGGCACAGGGGAATTTAAATGTTCTAGATATGGATAGGGTGTCCATTACAGGGGCATATGCATTTCTTAAAACTGAATAAACTGCACACTTACCATGTCTGCATTTCACTGCACAAAAGTTATACTTCAATTAAAAAATCAATAGATACGCCGGGCCTGGTGGCTCACGCCTATAATCCCAGCACTTTGGGAGGCAAAGGCAGGTGGATCACCTGAGGTCGGGAGTTGGAGACCAGCCTGGCCAACATGGAGAAAGCCCGTCCCTACTAAAAATACAAAATTAGCTGGGCGTGGTGGCACATGCCTGTAATCCCAGCTACTTGGGAGGTTGAGTCAGCAGAATCACTTGAACCTGGGAGGTGGAGGTTGCGGTGAGCCAAGATCGTGCCATTGCACTCCAGCCTGGGCAACAAAAGCAAGACTCTGTCTCAAAAAAAAAAAAGAAAGAAAGAAAGAAAGAAAGAAAGAAAGAAAGAAAGAAAGAAAGAAAGAAAGAAAGAAAGAAAGAAAGAAAGAAAGATAAATGAAAATCCCCACTTTAAGTATCTATTCTAGAGAGGCATGCACGTTTTTTAATAAAAATAGAGATTTGCTTTGCTTGCCTGTCAGGAAGAAAGAGAAGGCGCCTATGATAGACAATGTGTAAAAGAAAAAGATGTTTATTTTAGAGCCCCCAGGCAGCTCTGATGCAGGCACCTGAAGCTGAATGAAAGATAGGAGGTTCTTTCTTGCCACTGTCAAATTCTCAAGACCCAGATATATCCTCCTACTCCCTAAAATTCAGACTCACGTTAACACGGGGCTCAGCCTACCAAGGTACATAGCAAGGACCTGTGACACCCATGGGGTGCTGTGCCTCGCAGTGAGGACACACACCATCTTCCCCCCATCCACTCTCAGTATTGTACCAGATAATCCCCTTTAATACCCTGGAGAGGACTTGCCCTATATTATTCATTCCTTGAAAACGCAAGAGTCAAGATAGGTTCCTGTGCTTTCCCTAGTATCTAAAGCAACTAGAAAAAAAATCTTTCAGGGTGTGGATGGACAGAGGCAAACACTAGTGAGGCCTTTGTAAATGCACTAACGGTCTCAGACTGGCAGGTTTCTGTGGGCACAGATTCCAGAAACTGTAGGCTAGACAAATCTGAAGATGCCCTGAAAGAGCAGTGTGACAATTAAAGTTTAATTTTCCTAAGCGTTCTCATTCACTCCAGTGCCCACCAGTACATTTGATGGTCTCACTCGTCTTGCCTTTTATACTACTTAATCATTGGCTAGGAGAACAGGCAAAAAGGTAATGCCAACTCCTACATCCAGACTGAGAAGAGCTATCTTGCCTCCAAGGTTTGATGTAAAAGAAGTGCAAAGTGAAGTGGCTAAAAGCACAGATTCTAGAATGCTTACATCTCAGCTCTACCATTTCTAGCTGTAGGCAGCTGGAAGACTAACTTAACCTCTCCTTGCTTCAGTTTTTTCATCTGTAAAAATGGAAATAATATTTATCTCATAAGGTTGCTGGTAGGATGCAAACAGTTAATTTGTGGGTAGAATGCTTAGAAGAATGTCAGGCAGATGGTCGGCATGACAATAAATATTATTGAGTTATTATTAAAGCTTGTCTTCTTGTTCTTGCATGTTGTGCACAAATATGTCAAATAGCTACAAATAACATAGATTTCATCGGAGCCTTAAAGATCCAGAGAGATAAAGAACCAAGGAGAAACCACCCTAGAAAAGTCATTTCTTAATTTCCAGATTCAACGGATATTCTGCTAGGACTAATCATATTCTATTTCTGGGCACCCACAACTATTATTTGAAAACTCCCATTTACATCTAACACCCCCACCCCCAAGTCCTACCCACATTCACGTGTTATCCAGTTATATGCAGATCCATATTTTCCTAAATTTCCAGGATACGTTTTTCCTCTGCATACTCTAGGAAGCATACTTTATAGGAGGCATACACTAAAGAACTTTTCTACCAAAACATGTTTTCTCTTATTTTTCTAGAGTCTAAGTTTTTCCCTAAAAAAAAAAAAATCACCCTTCCTTTTTAATTTTTGGGTTTCTTTTCTTAGAAGTTTTATTGACTTTAGCAAGTTCAATATATAACAACCATATCAGGACAAAATTCATCTACCTGACTAAAGAAAAGTCTGCATCCTTTTCACCAGGTAAACAAAAGCAGTGCAAGCTTAAAGCAAATAGCATTAAAAACATAATTAAAGAAAAGAGGTTAGAAAGTTTTTTTTAATCTATCATTTTAAATACAGTTGGAGTATTCTCTGTACTTTGCTTTTACTTCTGTGTAGTATTTAGAAAATATTAAATTTAATTCTTTTGGTTCTTATTTTTATGTGTGTATCCAGAAGCAAAGATATAAAAGTGAAGAATTTGCTTGGCTGAGAGAACGCACTTCACTTAAAAATTTCATTTTTATGTTTTCCTGTTTCTTTTTTATAAACCACGAGGCAATTTGTTTCAGAGCTTCACAAATGCTAGAGTTATAAGAGGGCCACTCAATCCTGATAGTCATAGTTATTTCTGTTTTATGGATTCAGTTTGATGAGATATAAAAATTCTAGATGTTTTATTTTGGTGAGAAAATTAATTGGATGCATGACTTCTGGCCTGCTGTTATGGCCTCCATAGTCTATGTTGCTTTCCCAGAAGGATTAATTTAATTATGATAAGTACAGGGTTCTTTTGAATTCATTCAAATGGTGTATATGCACACCTCCTAGCTGACTGCTTCTGTAGTGTTATTACTATGTGTTCATTATGTCAATAAATTAATTGGACCTATACTCATATTGGTTATGGCCTTGATGTCATTTTGCCGCTCTCCTTCCTCTCTTCCTTTGGACTTTCAAAGCCAGGCTCTAATAAACTGCCAGTTTTGCTCCTCATGTATAAATTTTTTTTCTGGATTCATATATTTTAATGCATGCTCTTCTTAGCATTAAATTTCTTTTCCTTTAATTCATTTATTGACTGCTGGATGTTTTGCAAGAACCATTGCATTTGTTTAGAAATGTATTTTGTAAATCATTGATTGACATTTTCAATTACCTAATTAACCACAAATAAAAGATTTAAATGGGTTTATTTTTCTTTTTAAAAAGCCTGTAGAAATTGCAAACCAGGGTAATACAAATTAATGATGTGACTACATTATTATTGAATCAGCACTATTAAAACCTTCAAGTGTCAAGAAATGGTACAGGGGTTTGGTATTTCTCTCTAACATATATGTAATATTATGCTCCTTCTTCTCAAATAGCTTTCAGATCATTGCACACACAGAATGCAATTACGGAAAGGCAGTAAAGGCATGACTTTTAAAGGAATATGATGCCCCAAGCAATCAGTCGCTATATGAGATGTAATGAAATGCTAGGCCTGCCAGTTAGGCTTAGGGAACTAAAAGAGCAATGTCTATGAAATGCACAATGTTCATCTTACAAGGATATTTTCTTCAGTATCAGGTTGTAAGGTGTTACTGTCAGAGAACTTTCTGGTTTTCTGACTTTTTACATGCATTATATAAATGTCTATTATGTATCTTTACCAAAGTGGATTATAGAGAAAATAATAGCAGCAGGTTTCCTTGTGCTGAAAAGGCAGGCACTTGCAGCGTAAAGCATTCTTTTTCCTTCCTCTAGCCTGCTCATCCTGGAACAACGCACTTGGCAAAAGAGCAAGTCCCTTTGTCTCCTTCTCTTCCATGAAATAACCAAACTGATAGCAGAGTAACCCAGCGATGACTTTATAAGCTTCAGGGTGGAATTCAAGTCCAGCAGCCTTAACTGTTGAGCAGCCCTTGGGGACAGACAAGGAAAAAAAGCAAGAAAGTATGAAGCCCTATGTCTTCACATGGAGTTTACTGTCTGCTAAGAGCATAAATGTCCTACTCCCCTTAACACACCCTTGGCAGAAACTCACTGGACAGTTGACAGGGTCAGAAGGAAAAACGCTCATCTCATTTCCTTATTTTTGCTTTCTTAAGTGAATTTTCCATGATTCTGACAAAAGCACTGCTCAGAGCAGAAGAGGTATGTGGTAGAAGTCACAGGTCAGTAATCCTGGAAGGGCCAGGGAGGGTTTAGTAGGCTTTCAGAGGCAGAGCTTGAATGAAATGAAAAGGCAGAGGATTCCATGCCAAAGTCCCAGGCTCTTAAATGAGCTTCAACACTCATTTCCAGCTCTAACTAAGGAAGAGTTATAAGAACAACTAATGAAATATTTCCCATTTCCATGATTTCCTGTATGTAAGGTAAAGCCACTATGTTTCTTGGTTATAATTCACATTTAATGAAAAGACACTCTATAAGCACTATAAGTAATTATTTTAAGTGTGTGATTATCTTAACCATTAAGATATCATTTTATTTCATTGTGAAAGTACTTACATAGAATTACTTTTAAAAACAGTTTTTCAATCTTCCAAGTTTGACTTCTTCCACTCTCTCCTTTGGCCTGTGAATCCAGAAATAAAGATTCTTGCAATATCTGGGAAATTTTTAAATCTACTAGATATAATTAAGGACTTATACATCTAGGTTAATTTTACATTGGGATAAATGTTATTAGGTTTTTCATCATTAATATGACCTACATGAAAAAGAGTTTTAAAATATTATAGGTTACTTATTTCTTTGTATTAGTGTCTGACTTATAGTTAACATTTGATCATCTGTAAACATACAACATGACTATTTTTGTTTTTAATTTTCAACAAGGATTATAACTTATTAAATTCTGTCAGGCATTTAAATAACTTGATGGCCGATTCTGGTAATATTTTATGCATTGTAATAATTTCAAATGATATGGGAAATCTTTAAGCTATTACAATATTTATAAGTTGATTTCTAGTGACACAGTAATTTGGACATAGTTTATGAGGCACCATGATGCTATAATCTCTTGACTGAGGAACATCCCTTTGAGTATACAATAATTATTAAAAATGTGTTTTATACTATAGTTTAAAGAGATAATTTTATTCACCATGGAAAAGTATAGTAAAACAAGAGCTGGGAGTTTCTTCAATGTGATCACTAAAGGCATTCCACACCTGCCTCCTCCACAAAGAAAAACCCGAATAACAAGCATATAATCACACGTCAACTAGAGTATCTAAGGCAGAATACTGGAATTCAACAAAGAAGTGACAGTAAACACACAAGGCACAGAAAGAGAGGAAAGTGAGGCAGCCAGCTTGGCTAGGGCTAGCTGAAGCCCTGGAGAGGTTACCCCGTGCAAGGAAAGAGTGAGTGAGAGATCCTCAGCAGTCTACATTCCCAGCATGGACTCCCACAACCCTATCCATGGGAGACCTTCTTGACCCTTGTGGGCTCTAATAGTTGCATAGGAACATCCCTGGAGGCTGCCTAATAGGCATTGCTCCAAAGAGGAAGTTAACACTGGGTCCTACACACACACACACCCATGTCAAGCAGCTGCAGCATGGCAACACTTTGACAGCCCAGCCCCCAGGAGACTGAATTCTGCCCTGAGGCTCAACAGCCCCCTATATCTCTACATCCCTACATCCCTACATCCCTAGACCCCCACTGACATAACCCTGAGTCACCCTGGAGGGCCAAGCAGCACCCTGGTTGGATCTAGTGGATCAGTACAGTCTCCATCACTCTGGCACACAGTGTCATGCACTCCAGGGAATGGGTGATGTAGTGCAGCAGGGAGGCTGCCCTTGGACAAAGGAAGCCAAAGGACACTTTCCAGAACCTGAAACCCACTTGCCTAAGGCCACTGCCACTGACAGCAACCCAGCCCCCAAAGCAGCAGGGCTGCCTTGCATTTGCATGCACCCTGAGAACTGGGTCTCCCCACTGCCACTGCTGCTGCTGCTGAAGAGCAAAGTCCATACTCTCCAATGACTAAGAGCTAACTGCCCGTGACAGCTGCCAGTAACATAAACCAAATTACTCCCCAGAAGCAAGGCAGCAATGCACTTACATGTGCCCCACAGAGGGTCTTCCAATACTCACTGCTGCTACTGCTTCCAGGGAGGTAGGGATCACCTCACTCTGCCCACTACAGCTTGTGCCCATGCCCACAACAACCTGAGGACAGCCCTAACCAGCCTGGCACCTCCTCTGCCAGTGCCCAAACATACCACCCAGGACTGAGGATCATCCCATCCTGTCTACCACTGCTGGCATCTATGCCGTCTTCCCAGGGGACTGAAGATAGACCCACTCAGCATGCTGCTACCATCACAACCAGTACCCACCAGCACATACCACCTGGGCACTGAGGACTTGTTCACCGAACCTGTCACATTCACTGATAACACAAGTGCATGTTGCCTGAGATCCTGAGGACTGTCCCTCCACCATCACAGTCATTTCCTATTCCATGCACACTTCCCAGGAGCCAAGGACTCACCCACCCACCCAGCCCACTAATGCCACTACCAGCCCCTGAGCCAGCAGCCTTGAGGCCCAAGAATCAACATGCTTGGACTTGCTAACACTGTTGCATACATACACTGCCTGAGAGCCCAATGACAAGCACATTCATCTTACCACTGTCACAAATGTAGCCCAAGGACTAGCCTCTGTGATGTCCCTGTCCACAGGAAAACCTCACCAAAGTCTCTATCAACACATTTAACCTAAGCTACTGAGAAAATCACAAATACCACTTATGCTGTTTGCATCTGGAGAAATCATACAGAGACTATACTACTGCATGCACACATGATCAAAGTGAAAGTTCCCTACCCAACCAACTCACGTATATACCCTCAGGAAAAATTCTCCCCTATGAAAGAAACTACAAAATATTAGAAGAGGTAATTACGAAACCAGATATACAGATATCAGTGTAAGGATACAGGAAATATGAAAAAGCAAGGAAATATGACACATCCAAAGGAACACAATATTTCTCCAGCAATAAAGCCCAATGAAAAGTAAATGTATAAAATGCCAGAAAGATAATTCAAACTAATTTTATTAAAGAAGTTCAGTGAAACACAAAATAATGCAGATAAATACAAAGGCATTAGAAAAATTATTCAGGATATGAATGAAAAATTTACCAAAGCTAAAGATATTATAAGAGAGAACCAAAAAGAATTACTGGAACTAAAGAATTCATTGCATTAAATAAAATTTTTTTTGAGAATTTCAACAATAAACTAGATCAAGCAGAAGAAAGAATTTCAGAACTTGAAGACAGGTCTTTGAAATAACCTAATCAGAAAAAAAGAAGGATTAAAAGGATGAACAATGCCACCAAATATTTAAATTTTTAGTGTTCCAGTAAGAGAAACCAAAAAGCATAAAATACTTATTAAACAAGATAACAGCTGAAAACTTCCCAAGTCCAGCAAGATAAAGACATCCAGATATAGTAAACAAAAGGATTCTTTTACTATTATTATTATTATTATACTTTAAGTTTTAGGGTACATGTGCACAATGTGCAGGTTAGTTACATATGTATACATGTGCCATGCTGGTGCGCTGCACCCACTAACTCATCATCCAGCATTAGGTATATCTCCCAATGCTATCCCTCCCCCCTCCCCCCACCCCACAACAGTCCCCAGAGTGTGATGTTCCCCTTCCTGTAAAAAAATGATGAGTTCATGTCCTTTGTAGGGACATGGATGAAATTGGAAATCATCATTCTCAGTAAACTATCGCAAGAACAAAAAACCAAACACCACATATTCTCACTCATAGGTGGGAATTGAACAATGAGAACAAAAAGGGATTCTTAAAGAGATACAACCCAAAAAGATATCCTCCAAGACACATTATAATCAAACTGTCAAAAATCAAGGACAAACAAAGATTTTTAAAAACAGCAAGAGAAAAGGGTCTGGTTACTTATATGAGAATGTCCCTCAAACGAACAGTGAATTTCTCAGTGGAAACCTTACACACCAGGAGAGAATAGGATGATATATTCAAAGTGCTGGGGAAAAATAAAAATAAAAAAACTGTCAATCAAAAATACCATACCCAGAAAAGTTATAACAAACTATCTCTCAGAACACAGTGCAATCAAACTAGAACTCAGGATTAAGAAACTCATTCAAAACCACTCAACTACATGGAAACTGAATAACCTGCTCCTGAGTGACTACTGGGTACATAACAAAATGAAGGCAGAAATAAAGATGTTCTTTGAAACCAACGAGAACAAAGACACAACATACCAGAATCTCTGGGATACATTTAAAGCAGTGTGTAGAGGGAAATTCATAGCGCTAAATGCCCACAAGAGAAAGCAGAAAAGATCTAAAATTGACACCTTAACATCACAATTACCCTCTATAAATAAAGGAGAAATAAAGTATTTGCCAGAAAAGCAAACACTGAAGAAATTCATCACCATCGGACCAACCCTACAAAAAAAATGCTTAAGGGGTTTGTACTAGTCCATTCTTATACTGCTAATAAAGACATACCTGAGATTAGGTAATTTATAAAGAAAATAGATTTAATTGACTCATAGGTCACCAAGTCTGGAGAGGCCTCAGGAAGTTTACAAACATGGCAGAAGGGAAATCAAACACATCCTTCTTCACATGGCAGCAGGGAGAGAAGTGAGTGAGTAAAAGAGGGGAAACCTCCTAATAAAACCATCAGATCTCATGAAGAACTCACTCACTATCATGAGAACAGAATGAGGGTAACCAACCCCATGATTCAATTATCTCCAACTGAGTCCCTCCCATAAAACATGGGATTATGGGACCTGCAATTGAAGATGAGATATAGTGGGGGATACAGCCAAATCATATTGTTCCACCCCTGGCCTCTCTCTCTCAAATCACATGTCCTCACATTTCAAAGCACAATCATGTCCTTCCAACAGTCCCCCAAAGTCTTAACTCATTCCAGCATTAACCCAAAAGTCCAAGTCCAAAATCTCATCTGAGACAGGCAAGTCCCTTCTGCCTATGAGCCTATAAAATCAAAAGCAAGTTAGTTACTTTCTAGATACAATGTAGGGTACAGGTGTTGGTTAAATACATGCATTCCAAATGAGAGAAATTGGCCAAAATAAAGAGGCTACAGGCTCCATGAAAGTCCAGAATCCAATAGGACAGTTATTAAACCTTAAAGTTCCAAACAGGTCTCCTTTGACTCCATGTCTCACATCCAGGTCACGCTGATGCAAAAGGTGGGCTCCCATGGCTTTGGGTAGCTCTGACCCTGTGGCTTTTCAGGGTACAGCCCCCTCTCCAGTTGCTTCCATGGCTGGCATTTAGTGTCTGGGGCTTTTCCACGTGTGTGGTGAAAGCTGTTGGTGGATCTACCATTGTGGGGTCTGAAGGATGGTGACCCTCTTCTCACAGCTCCACTGGGCAGTACCTCAGTGTGGAATCTGCGTGGGGGCCCTACATTTCCCTTCCACACTGCCCTAGCAGAGGCTCTCCATGAAGGCTTCACCCCTGCATCAGACTTCTGCCTGGAAATCCAGGTGTTTCTATACATCTTCTGAAATCTAGGTGGAGGTTCCCAAACTGCAACTCTAGTCTTCTGTGAACCTGCAGGACCACCACCACATGGAAGCTGCCAAGGCTTTGGGCTTGAACCCTCTGAAGCAATGGCCTGAGCTGTACCTTGGTCCCTTTTAGCCATGGCTGAAGTGGCTTGGATGCAGGGCACCAAATCCTGAGGCTGCATACGGCAGGGAGGCCCCGGACCCTGCCCAGGAAATCATTTTTCCATCCTAGGCCTCTGTGACTGTGATGGGAGAGTCTGCCATGAAGGTCTCTAACATGCCCTGGAGACATTTTCCCCATTGTCTTGATGGTTAACATTTGGCTCTTCATTACTTTTTCAAATTTCTGCAGCAGGCTTGACTTTCTCCCCAGAAAATGGGGTTTTCTTTACTATCACATCATAAGGCTGCAAATTTTCCAAACTTTTATGCTCTGCTTTCTCTTGAATGCTTTGTCACTTAGAAATTTCTTCCACCAAATACCCTAAATCATCTATCTCAAGTTGAAAGTTCCACAGATCTCTAGGTCGGGGCAAAATGTCACCAGTCTCTTTTCATAGTAAGAGTGGCCTTTACTCCAGTTTCTAACAAGTTCCTCATCTCCATCTGAGATCACCTCAGCCTGAACTTCATTATTCATATCACTATCACATTTCGCTCAGAGCCATTCAACAAGTCTCTAGGACTTTCCAAACTTTCCCACATCTTCCGGTCTTCTAAGCCCTTCATGTATCTAGGTAGTTCCAAACTTTCCCACATTTTCCTGTCTTCTTCTGAGCCATCCATACTATTCCAACCACTGCCTGTTACCCAATTCCAATGTCACTTCCACATTTTGGGGTATCTTCACATCAGCACCCCACTCTCTCTGGTACCAATTTACCATATGAGTCTGTTCTCACACTGGTAATAAATAATAAAATACCAGATACTGGGTAATTTATAAAGGAAATAGGTTCAATTGACTCACAGTTCAGCATGCCGGGGAAGCCTTAGGAAACTTACAATCATGGCATAAGGGGAAACAAACACGTCCTTCTTCACATGGCAGGAGAAGGAGAAGTGAGTGGGTAAAAGGGGAAAAATCTCTTAAAAAACCATCAGATCTCATGAGAACCCATTCACTACCACAAGAACAGCGTGAGGGTTACCGCACCCATGATTAAATTACCCCTCACCAGGTCCCTCCCATAGCATGTGGGGATTATGGTAACTACAATTCAAGATGAAATTTGTGGGGACACCAGGGGTAATACACCTGGAAGTAAATCTACCATCATAAAAACACAGGACACAAAAACGCTTAGTGGTGTTGAGACATTTGCTAAAGCAAACATACAAATAAGGAAGAGAAAAGACCCAAACTTTACTTCTATGGAAAACACAAAAGTGCAATGATAATAAGAGAGGGAAAAAAAGGAACAAATGGTATAACAAACAGAAAACAGTTAACAAAATGACATAAATAAGTTTTTATCAATAATAACCTTAAATGTAAACATATTAAATTTTCCACTTGAAAGATCTAAACCAACTGAATAGAAATAAAACATAACCCAAATATACGCTGCCTAAAGGACACTTATCTCATCTGTAAAGACACATATAGGCTGAAAATAAAGAGATGGAAAAAGATATTCTACCTTAATGAAATAAACAAGTGAGCAGCAGTAGCTATAATTACATCAGATAAAATAGACTTTAAGTAAAAAACGGTAAAAGGAGACAAAGAACATCATTGTATAATGATAAAGGGATCAATTCAGCAAGAGGATACAACAATTATAAATATACATGCACTGAAAATTGGAGCATCCAGATATATAAAGAATATATTATTAGATCTAAAGGGAGAAAACGATTTCAATACAATAATAGTTGGAAATTTGATCACCACACTCTCAGCATTAGACAGATCATTTAGACAGAAAATTAACAATGGGAAAAATTATTGGACTTAGATTTCACTTTAGATGAAATGGACCTAATAGACATCTACAGAACACTTTTTAAAATTCTATTTAAAAATGTGTAGATTTGCTACATGGGTATATTGCATAATGCTGGGGTTTGGGCTTCTACTGAACCCATCACCCAAATGCTGAACATAAGACTTAATATATAGCTCTTCAACTCTTGCCTCTCTCCCAATATCACCCCTTTTGGGGTCCCCAGTGTCTACTATTTCCATTTCATGTCCATGTATTTCTATTATTTAGCCCTCACTTATAAGTGAGACATGCGAATTGGATTTAATGTTTCTGAGATTTTTCTCTCACCATGATGGCCTTCAACTCCATTTATGTTGCTGTGAAATACATGATTTTCTTCTTTTTTATGGCTTTATAGCATGCCATGGTGTATATGCAACACATATTCTTTATCCAATCCACTTTTGATGGACACTTAGGTTGATGCCATGACTATTTTTAGTCCTTTCAGAAGTCACCATACTATTTTCCAAAGGTGCTAAACTAATTTATATTCCAATCAACAGTCTGTAAGTGTTCTCTTTTCTCCACATGCTCACTAAAATCTGTTATTTTTGACTGTTAAATATGTTATTCTGACTGGTTTGAGGTAGAATATCATTGTGATTTTAATTTGCATTTCTAAGATGATTTAGTAACGAGCATTTTTTTTAAGTTTGTTGGCTGCTTCTATATATTTTGAGAAGTGTGTGTGTTGATGTCTTATGTGCACTTTTTAATGGAGTTATGTATTTTTCTTGTTGATTTGTTCAAGTTCTTTATGGACTCTGGATATTAGTTCTTTGTCACATTCATAGATTGCAAATATTTTCTCCCATTCTATAGATTACCTGTTAACTCTTGTTTATTCCTTTTACTCTACAGAAGTTCTTTAGTTTAATTTAGTCACATTTATCTGTTTTTGTTTTTGTTGCATTTGCTTTTAAGGTCTTCCTCATAAATTATTTGCCAAGGCTAATTTCCAGAAGAGTTTTTCCTAGGTTTTCATCTAGTAGTTTTATAGCTTCAGGCCTTACATTTAAGTCTTTAATTGATTTGGGGTTGATTTTCGTATGTAATGAGAGGTAGAGGTCCAGTTTCATTCTTTTGCATATGGCTAGCCAGTTTTACCAGCAACATTTATTGAATAGGGTAGCTTTTCCTCAATGTTTATTTTTGTCAACTTTGTCAAAGATTAGGTGATTTTAGGTGTGTGACTTTATTTTGGGTTCTCTATTCTAATCAATTTATCTGCAGATTAATTTTTCTGCCAGTATCATGATGTTTTTGATATTATAGCCCTGTATTATAGTTTGAAATTGGGTAATGTAATGCCTCCAGCTTTGTTGTTTTTGCTTAGTGTTGTTTGGGCTCTTCATGCTCTTTGTTACTTCCAAATAATTTTAGAATCTTTTTTTCTAATTCTGTGAAAAATGATCTTGGTAATTTAATAGGAATTTTCTTGCATCTGTAGATTTCTTTGGGCAATATAATCATTTTAACAATATTGATTTTTCCTATCGAGGTACATGAAATTTTTTTCCGTATGTTTATGTCATCTACTATTTCTTTCGACAGTATCTGCAGTTTTCCTTGTAGAGATCTTTCACTTCCTTGGTTAGATGTAGTCCTAAGTGTTTTATTATCTTTGTGGCAATTATAAATGGGATTGGGTTCCTGATTTGATTTTCCACTTGAATGTGGTTGATGTATAAAAATCCAACTGATTTTCATGCATTAATTTTGTATCCTGAAACTTTGTAGAGTCATTTATCCCGTCCAGGAGTCTTTTGGAGGAATCTTTATGATTTTCTGGGTATAGGATCATGTCATCAGTAAACAAAGGTAACTAGACCTCCTAATTTCCTATTTGGATGTCTTTTATTTATTTTGCTTGCCTGATTGCTCTGGCTAACACTTCCAGTACTATGGTGAAAAGAAGTGGTGAGATTAGGTGTCCTTCTCTTATTCCAGTTCTTAGGGGGAGTGCTTTCAACTTTTCCCCATTCAATATGATGTTGCTTGTAGGTTTGTCATAGTTGGCTTTTATTATTTTGAAGTATTGTCTTTCAATGCCCTAGTTGTTGAGAAATTTTACTATGAAGGGATTTGGGATATTATTGAATTTTTTTTCTGCATCTATTGAAATGGTCATATGGCTTTTGTTTTTAATTATGTTTACATGGTGAATCACGTTTATTGATTTGTACATGTTAAACCATCCTTGAATTCCTGGAATAAAACTCCTCACTTGATCTTGATGAATTATCTTTTTGATGTGTTGCTGGATTCGGTTTGCCTGTATTTTGTTGAATATTTTTGCATTTATGTTCATCAGGAATATTTTTGTGTGTGTGCTACCCAGATTTTGGTATCAGGGTAATACTGGTTTTATAGAATGAGTTAAGGAGGAATCCTTCCTACTCTATTTTTTCAAGTAGTCTCAGTAAAATTGGTATCCGCTTTTCTTTGTATGTCTACTAGAATTTGACTGAATCCATCTGGTCCTGAGCTTTTTCTGGGTAGTATATTTTTAAATAACTGATTGAATTTCATAAACTATTACTGGTCTGTTTAGGATTTCTATTTCTTCCTGGTTCAAACTTGGGAGGTTGTATGTTTCCAGATATTTATCCATTTCCTCTAGGTTTTTTAGTTTGTACACATAGAGTTGCACATAGTTGTCTCTGAGGATCTTTTGTATTTTTGTGGTATAAGTGGTAATGCTGCATATATAATTTATGATTTTTTCTTATTTGAATGGTATCTCTTTTTTCTCTTGATTAATCTAGCTAATGGTCTATCAATTTGTTTATCCTTTCAAAAAATCAACTTTCTGTTTCATTAATCCTTTGTATTTTTTTTGTTGTTGTTAATCTCAATTTCATTTAGTTTTCCTCTGTTCTTTGTTATTTCCTTTCCTCTGCTACTTTTGGGTTTTGTCTGTTTTAGTTTTTCTAGTTACTTTAGGACAGGATTAGCTTGTAAATTTAAGATCTTTCTATTGTTTTGATGTAGGCATTTAGTAACATAAAATTTCAACTTAACACTCCCTTTGCTGCACCACAAAGGTTTTGGTATGTTTTATCTCCATTTTAATTCATTTCAAGAAATATTTTGATTCCTTCCTTATTTGCTGTTTATCCAAAATCATTGAGGAACAAGTTGTGCAGTGTCCATGTACTTGTGTGTGTTTTTTAGAGTTTCTCTTGGTATTGATTTCTAATTTTATTACACTGTAGTCTGAACAGATGCTTGATATAATTTTATTTTTTTGAATTTATTGAGACTTGCTTTACAACCAAGCATATGATTAATTTTAGAGAATATTCCATGTCCAAATGAGAAAATTGTATATTCTGTGATTGTTGGGTGAAATATTTTGTACATGTCTATTAGATCCATTTGGTTAAGAGTCCAATTTAAGTTTAGAATTTCTTTGTTACTTTTCTGCCTCAATGATCAGCCTAGTGCTGTCAATGGTGTTTTGAAGTCCTCCAATATCATTACATGGCTATTTATCTCTTTTCTGATGTTTAGAAGTATTTGTTTTACAAACGCGGGTGCTCCAGTGATGGATGTGCATATATTTAGGATAGTTAAATCTTCTTTTTGAATTAAAACTTCATTATTTTTACCGTTTTAAAACGTTGTTGATTCAATGTTTGTTTCATCTGATACAAGAATAGCAACCCCTGATCTTTTTTGTGTTTCATTTTCGTGATAGATCTTTCTCCACCACTTTACTTTGAGTCTATGTGTGTCATTAATTGTAAGATGGGTCTCTTGAATGCAGCAGATGGTTGAGTCTTGTTCTTTATCCAATTTGCCAATCTAAGTCTTTCAATTGAAGCATTTAGGCCATTTATTTTCAAAGTTAATATTGATATGTGAGGTTTTGTGCCTGTCATAGTGTTGTTAGCTAGTTGCTTTGTAATTTTAATTGTGTAATTGCTATATAGGATCTATAAACTTTTCACTTATGTGTGTTTCTGTAAACTCTTTCATTTCCATGTTAGAACTTCTTTGAGCATTTCTTGTAGATCTATTCTGGTGATGACAAATTCTCTTACAATTTACTTGTCTGGAAAGACTATTTCTCTTTTACATGAAGCTTACTTTAGCAGGATATAAAATTATTGGCCAGCATTTTTGTTCTTTCTTTAGGAAAGCTAAAAATAGGCCACTAATGTCCTCTGACTTGTAAGATTCTGCTGAGAAGTAAGCTGTTAGTCTAGTGGGACTTTTTAATAGATAACATGGCCCTTTTCGCTAGCTTCCTTTAAGACTCTTTCTTTCATTTTGACTGGACAGTCTGATGAGTATTTGCATTGATGATGGTCATCTAGTGTAGTATCTTGCAGATATTCTTTGAATTTCTTGTGGCTGCATGTCAACCTGTCTAGCAAAATAAAATTTCTCTTGAATGATTTTCTTAAGAATGTTTGCCAAGTGGCTTACTTTTTCTTCTCTCTCAGGAATGCCACTAAGTCATAGGTTTGGTTGCCTTCACATAATCCCATGTTTCTGGAAGGCTTGGTTTGTTTTTAAATTCTTTTTTCATTATTTTTGTCTGATGGGTTAATTCCAAAGACAGGTCTTCAAAGTCTGAAATTATTTCTTCTGCTTCTTCTAGTCTACTTTTAACTTTCAACTGTATTTTAAAATTCCTTTAGTAAATTTTTCAATTCAAGAAATTTTATTTCTTCTTATATGTTTTTTTAAAATAACTATCTCATCTTTCATATCCTTGATTTTTTTTTTTTTGTTTCCTTGTGTTGATTTTTCACTTTCTCTTAGATCTCACTGAGTTTCCTTACAATCCATACTTTGAATTCTTTATCTGTCATTTCAGACTTTTCATTTTGGTTAGGATCTATTGCTAAAGAGTTAGTGTGATCCCTTAGTGGTGTTGAGACATTCTGTCCCTTTGTACTGCTGGAGTTTTTCTACTGATTCCTTCTCACCTGAGAAAGCTGTCACTTCCTATTTTTGAATTTACTATCACTTGGATGGAACTTTTTTTTATTCTTTTTTCCTTGAATATATTACTGTGATACATATTGTGTATCATCTTATTCCAGTTAGAATGGCTCTTATTAAAAATAAAAAATAGATGCTTGTGAAGATGTGGAGTAAAGGGAACTCTTATACATTGTTGACAGGAATGTAAATTAGTGCAGCAAACAGTATGGAGATTTTTCAAAAAAAACAAAAAATAGAACTACCATGAGATCAAGCAATCCCACTAGTGGGTATTTAGCCAAGGAAAAGAAAAACAGTACATCAAAGTGATACTGACGCTTCCATTTTACTGCAGTATTATTGACAATAGCAAAGATAGGGAATAAACCCACATGTCCATCAATAAATGAATGGATAAAGAAATTGTGGTATATATACACAATAGAATACTCTTCAGCCATAAAAAAGAATGAAATCCTGTCATTTGCAGCTACGTAAATGGAGCTGGAAGTCATTATGTTAAATGAGATAAGCCAATCATAAAAAGACAAATAGTGAATATTTTCACTTACATATGAAAATTTAAAAAGTTGATCTTATAGAGGTACAGAGTAGATTGATAGTAACCAGAGGCTAAGAAGGGTGTTTGTAATGTGGGGAACAGGTATTGGAAGGAGATAAAGAGTGATTTGTTAATGGGTACAAATATACAGTTAGATAAAAGGAATAAGTTCTTAAATTTAATAGCAGAGTAGGGTAACTAGAGTTAACAACAATGTATTGTATATTTAAAAATGGATAGAAGAGGGGACTTGAAATGTTCCCAACACATACAAATAATAAGTGCTCAAGGTGATAGATGCCCTAAATATCCTGACTTGATCACTACACATTCTACACACGTAACAAAATACCACACGTACTCCATAAAATATACAAATATTATGTATTAATACACAATTTAAAAACAAAAACCAAAAGGACTAAATGTAATTTGTGTATATGATTACTTACATCAAAGATGTCCAAAAGTCAATGCTAAAGTTAAAATAAACTTCAGAGTTCCAAACTCAATAGGTTCAGGCTTTAAACGTATCGTCCTGTGTTACTGTAAGACACAGGACTAATGGATAAAATATAAGACAACCATACATTTTTAAAGAGCTCTATTTCAAAAAGAGATAAACAGTTCTATAGGCCAGAGATCAAATAGCAACAAATCAAAAGCTAGAGGTCTTGGTCCGACAGTTGCCAAGTCTGGAGTCTGGCAGACCTGGCTAGGGTCCTAATAGTTACCCTATTAGAAACTATAATGGATGCCTTACAAGGATAAGAATCAAAAGCTCAACTTATCATTTAAAACTGATGACTGAGTGACTGGGTGGAGTTTTCATCCCCTATAAAGTACTTTTAAAATAAAAAAAATCTATTATTATTATATTAGTGTGTGTGAGAAAGACAGGGCCTCACTCTGTTGCCCCCACTAGAGTACAACGGCACGATCTCTCCTCACTGCAACCTCTTCCTCCCAGGCTCAAGCAGTCCTCCCATTTTGGTCTCCCTAGCAGCTGAGACTACAGGCTTGGGCCAGCATGCCTAGCTAATTTTTGTATATTTTGTAGAGATGAAGTTTCACCATGTTGCCCAGGGTGTTCTCTAACTCCTGGGCTAGAGCAATCCGCCGCCCTCGGCTTCCCAAAGTGCTGGTATGGCAGGCTTGGGACACCGCACCCAGCCAAAAACCTATTATTTCTTATTACTCCAAAAACTTAATATCTTTCGGAATAGAAAATTCAAAAATGACTGAAAATATTTAGCTCTAATATGTAAAGAGCTTAAGATGTCATCACTCCCTTTCTTACAAGAGAAAGCTGAATAAAACAGAAAATCAATTACTCCTCTTCTATCCATCAGAAAATTGAGGTCTCAAAGCAAACTTCCAGTCTGAAATTTGCAGAGAAAGATAAATCCAGACAGTCACAGCGACCAACCTCTGATAATCTGGAGCAGAAGCTGCTAGAGCTATAAACTGGTACAAATATGTAAATGGTAATTTTGAAGAATTCCTGATGGTTGAGTGCGGACTCATGTGAGAGTGAGAAACTCTGGGAAGGCCAGGCAGGCTAAGGGGTCCCCCACACTTTCATGGGCCTTACCTCCATGAAACTTACCCAGTTCTTGTGATTAAGAGCCTAGACAGATCTATTGCTTCTGTCAGAGGGAAGAAAGTATTAGTAATTCTAAAATGCACCCAAAGTATTCTCCACCATGAAAACCTACCAGAGCCATAGCCGACCTCTGGGAAAAGTATTTAGGGCACTCTAATTCCTTCTACTCTTCCTGTCTTACCTAAGAGGGAAAGCTAAGAAAGACTATAAAGGACCAGCCAGGGTCACAGGTCCACTAAAAGATTGAGATTTCATAATAAGGTTATAGAATGTCCTCCACACTTTCCTACCATATCAATAGGACTTGAGTATGATAATAGTGGATCATAGTGAATGAGCTGCAAAATGCAGATTCTTAGAAGGAGTACATAGCAAATCCCAATGTCAAGAAAGGAGACAAAAAACAAGAACACTAGAGTAATTTGAACCTCTAGTACCAGCTGCAAGAACAAACATTAAACACAGCCCAGTTCCCGGCCAGATTAACATAAATTCTCTCACTGAAGTCCTATATATCAGTTCCTATTACTCAATTCATCAAGTTTGGCTTTCAACAAAAAAATTGCCAAGCATGTAAAAAGGCAATGTGCACACATGTACATGCATGCACTGCACACACATTTACATACACTGTATAAAGGAGCAAAGTAAGCATGTGAACAAGAACCAGATATGACGCAGATTTAGGAATGATCAGACGTGAAATCTAAAATAACTATGATTAATATAAGAGTTTTAATGGAAAAATTAGATAACATGCAAAAACAGATTGCTAATGTAAGAAGAGAGATGGAAACTCCAGGGACGATTAAAAATAAATCCACACCCAAATATTTCTGAGTGAAACTTCAGAACCTCAAAGATAAAAAGAAAATCCTAAAAGGCATCAGAGAGAAAAGTCATCTTAACTGTAATGAAAAGACAATTAAAGTGACAGCAGACCTTAGCCACACTAAATGCCAGAACACACGGGCATCTAAAGGTAGCAACCTGAAGAAAAATAGTTACCAATCTGAAATTTCATATCCAACCAAAATTGTATTCTTGATTTGGGGTTAAATAAGAACTGACTGATACATACAAATACAAAAGTAAGTTTTCCACCACAGACTTCCACAGTATTAGACCACAAAATAAATTCTTAATACACTTCAAATAATTGCTATCATATGGCATACGATCTCTGTCCATAACATATATAAATTAGAAACATTAGAACCCAAAGCTACATATATAAAAAAAGGAAATACTCCTAAATAACAAATAGATTTAAGAAGAAAACACAATGAAAATTATAAAATATTTAGAACTCAATGACAACAAATAAACTATACATCAGCCCTTGTGGAATGTAGTACAAGTGGAACTAGAGATCCACTATAGTATTAAAAACACTTTTTAAAAAAGGATGATTAAAAATAAATAAGCTGGGTGCGGTGGCTCATGCCTGTAATCCCAGCACTTTGGGAGGCTGAGGTGGGTGCATCACTTGAGGTCAGGAGTTTGAGACCAGCCTGGACAACATGATGAAACCCCATCTCAACAAAAAAAATACAAAAATTAGCTGGGTGTTGTGGCACGTGCCTTTAAGAAATCTTTTGAACCCAAAAGGCAGAGGTTGCAGCGAGCTGAGATAGCGCCATTGCACTCCAGCCTGGGTGACAGAATGAGAACACATCTCAAAAAGAAAAGAAAAAAAGGAGAAAATAAATGAGTTAAGTATTTACCTCAAGAAGGTAGAAAAAGAAAAATACTACAAATTAAAAGAATGAGGAAAATAAATCATATAAAGGATGAATTGATAGAATTTTAAAAACAAAATTAATCCACAAATTTGGAGCTGATTCTTTGAAAATAGTCACAAAATAGATTATGCTGAAGTATGGCTGATCAAAGAATGTAAAAGAAAGAGAGAGAGAAGCTGAGAGAGAACACAAGTCAGAGATGAAAAATTCAGGATATGACTACATATAAGAGATTTCAAAAGTCTCATGAAATTACTACGAACAACATTTGCCAATAATTTTACAAGTTAGAGAAATGGCAATATTATGGAAAAGTATACATTACCAGAATTGACTTACTTAAGAAGAAGAAAAAGTAAACTTTAATCATTTATGAAAACAATAATTATTAATGAAATTAAATGAGTGGTAAAAAAAACTTTCATCCCTTCTCTTTCCCCCTATTTATTGAGGCCCTACTATGTGTCAGACACTATGCTAGGCACTTGGGCTGATCAGTAAATGAAACGAAACAATAACAAAAATACTATATTTAAAGAGTTGAAATTCTAGTAAGGGGAGACAACAATAAACTATTAAAAATAAGTTAATTATATAGAACATGGTAAGGGGTAGGGGTGAGTGGAGTGAGGTGGATATGAGTTCATAGTCTGACTGAGGTTTTAAATTGGAAGTCAGAGTACGCCCATCTATGCAGGGAGTTTCAGGAGGGAGGAAAATCACTCTGCTGATATCAGAGAAAGAGCACTACAAACAGAGGAAAGAGCTAGATCAGAATGGCAATGCAGGCAGTTGCCTCACATGCTCCCAGTACAGCAAAAGGACCAGTAACACTGGATCAGAGGGAATAGAAGGGCAAGGAGGAGTAGAAGATGAGGTCAGATTGGTAAAAGAATTTTACTTGTAAATTTTCTGTAAACTGAAATGAAAAGATAATTCTTCACACCAGTTTCAAAGAACAGATAAAAAAGGTTAAAAATCCAACCTTTTTATGAGACTGATTCAATCTTGACATGAAAATTAGATAAGTAGAGAACTAGATAATTATAGACCAATCATACTTATGAACATAGATAAAAAAAATTCTAATACAATATTGGGAAATCAAACGTAGCAGTGTGTCTAGATTTAATCTTGCCCAAGAAAAGATTTTCTTAAGAATGTAAGGCTGGTGTAACATCAGAAAAATTTAACAATGCAATATATTAATAAATTAAAGAATAAAAATATAATCACCTTAGCAGACTATCCATGTTAGTTACAATGGAAGTTGTACATGTACTAAACAATGTCACTTCCCCTTGCTATGGCTAGAATGGCTACTGCCCAGCTGAGTAACCCCATTTGTAAAGCAGCAGTAATGAACATTTCCCCAGCTGCTGGGAGAGTCAGCTGCTGTTGGCTCACAGCTAACAATCTTTCTGGGAATTTCTCCCACCCAAAGGAGCTGCTTTGCCTGAGTTTATACATTTTTCCCAGTGTATCCTGCAATTAGTGACAGGTTGAGGCAGGGGTATAGGTTGAGTCCCAGCCCTCATCTCAGTGAAAGGTCATCTTAGCTCCAGAGCTCTCTGAAGAATAGGCTGAGTGCTCTATTGCAACTTCATTGCAACTGACTTTCTCTTTATGCTTAACCCTCCTTCTGCACTCCCTTGCAAATTTTCTGGAGAACATGTTCCAAGAAACCTTCTTCATACAAAGCTGACTCAAAGCTGGTTTCCTAGGAGGCTTGACCAAAGAAAAGTGCCCATCTTTTCTTGCCTTATCAGTACTCCATATTATGATGCATCTAACAAAGGACCTCATTTCATAAAAGATAAAGCAAGGTACAAAAGAGAAAGCATGATATTCACAGGCCATACCATATGTCCATCACATACTAGTAAGTGGCTTTAAGGAACAGTGGAATAGCCAATTGAACACTCAGTTACATCACAAGCTAAAAGACACCAACTTGTGAAACAGATCCTCTCTCCTGAAAGATGTTTTATATGATGTTATTTCTCTCATGGCTTGAATATAGGATTGTGTATTAGTTTGTTTCAATGCTGCAGATAAAGGCATGCCTGAGACTGGGAAGAAAAAGAGGTTTAATTGGACTTACAGTTCCACTTGGCTTGGGAGGCCTCAGAATCATGGCAGGGGGCAAAAGGCACTTTTTACATGGCAGTGGCAAGAGAAAATGAGAAAGAAGCAGAAACAGAAAGTCCTGATAAACCCAACAGATCTCATGAGATTTATTCACTATCATGAGAACAGTACAGGAAAGACCCGTTCCCGTGATTCAGTTACCTCCCCCTGTGTCCCTCCCACACATGCAGGAATTCTGGGAGATACAATTTGAGTTGAGATTTGGGTGGGGACAGAGCTGAACCATATCATTCCACCCAGGCCCCTCCAAATCTCATGTCCTCTCATTTCAAAACCAATCATGCCTTCCCAACAGTCCCCCAAAGTCTTAATTCATTTCAACATTAACCCAAATGTCCACAGTCCAAAGTCTTATCTGAGACAAGGCAAGTCCCTTCTACCTACGAGCCTGTAAAATCAAGAGTAAGCTAGTTACTTCCTAGTTACAGTGGGAGTATAGATATTGGGTAAATATAGCCATTCCAAATGGGAGAAATTATCCAAAACAAAGGGGTTACAGGGCCCATAAAAGTCTGAAATACAGCAAGGCAGTCAAATTTTAAAGCTCCAAAATGATCTACTTTGACTCCAGGTATCATATCCAGATCATGCTGATGCAAGAGGTGGGTTCCCGTGGTCTTAGGCAGCTCTGCCCTTGTGGCTTTGCAGGGTACAGCCTCCCTCCTGGCTGCTTTCACAGGCTGGCATTGAGTGTCTATGGCTTTTCCAGGTGCATGGTGCAAGCTGCCAGTTGCATCTACCATTCTGGGGTCTGAAGGACAGTGGCCTTCTTCTCACAGCTCCACTGGGCAGTGCCCCAGTAGGGACTCTATCTCGGGGCTCCAACCCCATATTTCCCTTCCACACTGCCCTAGCAGGGGTTCTCCATGAGGGCCCCACCCCTGTAGCAAACTTTTGCCTGGGCATTCAGACATTTCCATACATCTTCTGAAATCTAAGCAGAGGTTCTCAAACCTCAATTCTTGACTTCTGTGCACTCGCAGGCTCAACACCACGTGGAAGCTGCCAAGGTTTGGTGCGTCCACCCTCTGAAGCCACAGACTGAGCTGTACATTGGCCCTTTTCATCCACATCTGGAGCAGCTGGGACACAGAGCATCTGGTCCCTAGGCTGCACACAGCATGGGGACCCTGGGCCCGGCACACAAAACCACATTTTCCTCCTGGGCCTCTAGGCCTGTGATGGGAGGGACTGCCATGAAGGTCTCTGACATGGCCTGGAGACATTTTCTCCACGGTTTTGGGGACTAACATTAGGCTCCTTGCGGCTTATGCAAATTTCTGCAGCCAGCTTGAATTTCTCCCCAGAAAATGGGTTTTTATTTTCTATTGCATAGTCAGGCTGCAAATTTTTCAAACTTTTATGCTTTTATAAACTTTTCAATTTTTCAAACTTTTATTTTATGCTTTTAACTTTTATGCCTTATAAAACTGAATGCCTTTAACAGCACCAAAATCACCTCTTGAATGCTTGCTGCTTAGAAATTTCTTCCTCCAGATACCCTAAATCATCTCTCTCAGTTCAAACTTCCATAAATCTCTACGGCAAGGGCAAAATGCTGCCAGCCTCTTTGCTAACACATAACAAGGGTCACCTTTGCTCCACTTCCCAACAAGTTCCTCATCTCCATCTGAGATCACCTCAGCCTGGATTTTATTGTCCATATCGCTATCAGCATTTTGGGCAAAGCCATTCAACAAGTCTCGAGGAAGTTGCAAACTTTCTCACATTTTCCTGTCTTCTGAATCCTTTAACCTGTTCCAATGTCTCCCGGTTACCCAGTTCCAAAGTCACTTCCACATTTTCAGGTATCTTTCCAGCAACACCCGCTCTACTGGTACAAATTTACTGTATTAGTCCATTTTCATACTGCTGATAAAGACATACCCAAGACTGGGAAGAAAAAGAGGTTTAATTGAACTTACAGTTCCACACGGCTGGGGAAGCCTCAGAATCATGGTGGGGAGCAAAAGGCAGTTCCTACATGGCTGCAGCAAGAGAAAATGAAAAATAAGAAAAGCAGAAACCCCAGACAAAACATGAGCTCTCATGAGACTTATTCATTATCACCAGAATAGCACGGCAAAGACTGGCTCCCATGATTCAATTACCTCCCCCTGGGTCCCTCCCACAACATGTGGAAATTCTGGGAGATACAATTTGGGTTGAGATTTGGGTGGGGACAAAGCCAAACCGTATCAGACTGTGATGGAAGGGATGGAAATTGGAGTGACACCACTCATTATTGCGACCAGGCACATATTTTTTACTTTTCATACAATGATTCTAGGTACTGCCATTTTAGAGAATTTAGTTCCTAAGGAAAGAAATGCTTTTGCCAGGGGCATAGCAATTTTTCTAGAGACTAAAAGTTAAGCATATCACCTTACCTATTTAGATTCACATATAATTAAATGAACAAGAAAAAAAAGGAAGTATTGACTGTGGTGTGTAATAATGATTTATCAAGGTAAAATAAAGTTGCTGCATATGGTAGTTATCACCAAGTTATTCCCAAATCTGTTTCTCCTCTTTTCAGGCATATGGTAGTGTTGCATCTCCCTGTGTCTTTGAATATAGTCATAGCCTTCTTGGCCTGGTAACTTGAGCAAAGGCCCATGAAATGTGAGCAGAAATATTAAGATATGTTAAATAATTTGCCTTCTTCTACTTTTCTTGCATTAGTCATCAGGTAAGATTGTGTCAAGTTGGAGCATCCAACAGCCTGGGTTTCTGAGAGACTGTGATGAGCAGAGCCCCCTGCTGCCTCAGGTTAGTCCTATAACCTGAGCAACACTCACATATATAATAATTTATATATATACACGTGTATATATATATGCACATTTATATATACATATATAAATACATATATGCAAATGATTGTTTCTGTAACATAGTAGTTTACTTTAAAAAATAGACTACTATGCAATGGAAACAAGGAGAAGAACATTTGGAATCCTGGAGATAGTTTTTTTTTTTAATCGCTAAAAATAGTGTGATAGCAACACCATCTAGGCAAGACTGCCAAGGACTCAGAGCCCTAGGAACTAAGAATTCAATTATCCTACTGGGTAGAGAACTCACATAAGGCATATGGAGCTGAGGGCAAATGGGGTATATTTGTATTTCAATATATATATTATATTTATGATTTGTATTTAAACATGTCATTCATTTATGATTAAAATTGTCAAGAATAACTATATAAGGAAAATACCTCAACATAATAAAGGTAATGTATGACAAGGCTACAGCTAACATTATTCTCAATGGTGAAGAATTAAAAGCTTTTCCTCTAACATCAGGAACAACACAAAGATGCCCACTCTTACCACCTCTATCTAACATAGTACTAGAAATCCTAGCCAGAGCAATTAAGCAAGAAAAAGTAGTAAAAGGCATGCATATAATAAAAGAAGAAGTGCAATTGTCATTGTTTGCTGGATGGATATGGACATAATCTTATATATAAAAAAACTCTAAAAATTTCTTTGGAAAAATTATTGGAACTAATCAGTTCAGTAAAACTGCAGTTTACAAAACCAACAGGCAAAAATTAGTAGTGTTTCTAGACCCTAACAACGAGCAATTGAAATAATAAATTTAAAAACTACTTCCACATAATAGTACCAACAAAATAAAAGACTTAGGAGTAAATTTAATGAAGGAAGTAAAAGATGTGTACACTGAAAACTACAAAATGTTGAGAAAAGAAATTGAAGAAGACACAAATAAATGGAAAGGTATTCCATGTTCATGGATTGGAAGAATTAATATTGTTAAAAAGTCCATACTACTGAAAGTTATCTATAGATTCAATGTAATTCCTATCAAAATCCCAATGTCATTTCCTACAGAAAGAGAAAAAAAAATTCCAACTCATATGGAATCAAGAAAAGACTCTCAATATTCCAAGTAATCTTGAGCAAAAAGTACAAAGCTGGAGGCATCACACTTCCTGATTTCAAAATATGTCATAAAGCTATTGTAATCAAAATAGCATGGTACCCTCACAACAGAAACACTCCCACTAGTAGAACATGATATAAAGCCCAGAAATAAACCAAGGTATTTATAGTCAATTGATTTTTGACAAAAGTGCCAAAAATATACTATGAGGAACAGACAACCTCTTTAATACATGGTGGTGGGAAAACTATATATCCACATGCAGAATAATAAAATTAAATCTTTATCTCACACCATATACAAAAATCAACTCAAAATAGATAAAAGACTGAAATGTATGATCTGACACTGTTATGTTACCAGAAGAACACATAGAAAAAGCTCTGAAACGTTGGTTTGGTTAGCGATTTTTTGGATAGGAGTCCAAAAGCACAGGCAACAAAACAAAAACAGGTAAATGAGACTGTGTTAAATGAAAAGCCTTCTGCACAGCAAAGGAATCAATTAACAAAGTGTAGATACCATACCAAGATTGTGAAAGAATATTTGCAAACCATATATCTTATAAGAGGCTAATAAACCAAAATATATAAGGAACTCAAACAACTCAATAGTAAAAAAAAAAAAACCCAGTTAAAAAATAGACAAAGGGTCTACACAGGCATTTCTCAAAAGAAGAGATGTTAAATATATGTTTTAAATGTTCAACATCTCTAATCAGAGAAATTCAAATAGAAACCAGGATATCACTTCACACCAGTTAGAGTGGCTAATATCAAAAATGCAAATAATAAGTGTTGGCAAGAATGTGGACAAAAGAGAACACTTGTATACTATTGATCAATATAAATTAGTACAGCAACTTTTGAAAGTAGTATGAAGATTCCTTTAAAAACTAAAAATAGAATTAGTAAATAATCTAGCAATTTTAGTTTTCAGTATATATGCAAAGGAATTGAAATTGTTATGTCAGAGAGAAGTCTGCATCACCATATTCACTGCACTGTTATTCATAATAGCGAGGCTATGGAAGCAACATAAGTGTCCATCAACAGATAAATGACAGGGGAAATGTAGTATGTATAATGTATGTACTTAAATTTTAATAAAAAGAAACCACAGCTGTTTCTATGATGCCAGTGGAACATGAGTCAGCCTTAAAAAGAAAGAAAATTCTGTCATTTGTGACAACATTGAGAAACTAGAGGATATTATGCAAAGTGAAACAAGCCAGATACAGACAAATACTGCATGATCTTACTTATGTGTGGAATATTAAGTCTATCTTAAAATTAAAGAGTCTATCTCATAGAAACAGAGAGTAGAATGTTAGTTACCAGAGGCTGAGGGATGAGGAAGAGAAGAAATGGAATAGAGAAGATATTGATCAAAGGGTACAAAGTCTTGGATTGGAGGAAGAAGTTTTGGTGATCTATTGCATTGCATGGAGACCACAATTAATGTGTTATATATTTTTAAATTGCTAAAAGAATAGATTTTTAACATTCTCCCCACAAAAAAATGAGTTGGTGAGGTGACAGTTATATTAATTAGCTTAACTGAATATTCCTACAATGTATTTATAGATTAAAACATCACATTATACCTTATAAATACACATAATTATTATTTGTTAATTATAAATAGTAAATTGCAGAATAATACTTACAATACGATTCCATAGGTATGAAATTTTAAAACACAAAACTCATACTATATATTGTTTACCTTTGATACATGTGTACAAAAATGATTAAAAGATGAATGGGAAAGATGTACCAAATTCAGTGTAATGTGTCAATCATAAGCTTCTTTTTAATACAGGGGGTACGTATATGGAAGTTGGTTAGTTTTCTGTGTGTTTGAATACTTTAATATACTTAAATTTTAATAAAAAGAAACCACAGCTGTTTCTACGATGCCCTCAGATTGCTAACAAATTTCACTTTGTGAATTGCATTATGGATCTTTCAATAATCTAAATGAAACACTAGAATCTGGGGTTTATAAATTCCACCTAAAGACAATATTCTTAGTTAAAAACTTATGAACAGAACTTTCTCTCTTATTTTTTTGTTTACTTTTTTCTTCAACTTTTAGATACAAGAGGTACATGTGCAGGTTTGTTAGATGGGTATATTGAGTGATGCTGAAGTTTGGAGTACAAATGATCCTATCACCCAGGTGAGCACAGTAACCCATAGGTAGTTTTACAATTCACACCCCCTCCCTCACCTCCCCACTCTAGTAGTCCCTAGTGTCTATTGTTCCCATGTTTATTTCCATGTGTGCTCAAGGTTCAGCTCCTATTTTTAAGTGAGAATGTGTGGTATTTGATTTTTTGTTCCTGTGTTAATTCGTTTAGGATTATGACCTCCAACTGCATCCATGTTGCTGCAAAGGACAGGATTTTATTATTTTTATGGCTGTGTAGTATTCTGTGGTATATATGTACCATATTTTCTTTTTCCAGTCAACCATTGATGAGCACCTAAGTTGATTCTATATCTTTGCTATTTCGAATAGCACAGTGGAGAACATACGAGTTCATGTGTCTTTTTGGTAGAATGAACTATTTTCCTTTGGGTATATACCCAGTAATGGGATTGCTGGGTCTAATGATAGCCTTGTTTTAATTTCTTTGAGGAATCTCCAAACTGCTTTCTACAGTGGCAGAACTAATTTACATTCCTACCAACAGTGTATAAGCATTCTTTTTTCTCTGTAGCCTTGCCAGCATCTATAGTTTTTTGGCTTTTTCATAATAGTCATTCTGACTGGTGTGAAATCTCATTGTGGTTTTGATTTGTATTTCTCTGATGATTCATGATACTAAGCTTTTTTTTACATGTTTGTTGGCTACTTGTATGTTTTCTTTTGAGAGATGTCTGTTCATGTCATTTGCCCATTTTTTTTCATGGAGTTATTTGTGGGGTTTTTTTGTGCTTTTGTTTGTTTGTTTGCTTGCTTGCTTGCTGATTTAAGTTCTCTATAGATTCTGGATATTAGGCCTTCATTAGATTCATAGTTTGCAAATACTTTCGCCCATTCTGTAGGTTGTCTATTTACTCTGTTGATAGTTTTATTTGCTGTGCAGAAGCTCTTTAGTTTAATTGGGTCTCACTTCTCAATTTTTGTTTTGTTTTCGATTGCTTTTTGGGGCTTAGCCAAAAATTATTTGCCAGTGCCAGTGTTGAGAAGAGTATTTCCTAAGTTTTCTCCTAGGATTTTTATAGTTTGAAGTCTTACATTTAAATCTTTGATGCATTTCGAGTTAATTTTTGTATATGGTGAAAGGTGGAGTTCAGCTTCATTCTTCAGCATATGGCTAGCCAGTTATTCCAATCTTAAACCCACTGAACTATAAAAAATAAGTCTTAGCCTGAGAACTTACCTGTAGATGGGACTATCAAAAGGATCACCCAAATGTGGGAATTTCTGTTACAATCAATATCTGGTAGCATACTTAATTTACAGCTTTACAATCAAAGAATTGTAAAAGGAATTTTTAAAACAAAGTATTTTGCATTAAAATTAATAATCACAATGAGCTTTAACTTAATCACTGAATTAATCACATTCATTTTGTGTTGTATACATTTGAGGTGTACAAAATGTGTTTTGAAACAGATATACATAATGAAATGATTACCACCGCCAAACAAATTCACAAATTCATCACTTTGATAGTTACCTTTGTGTGTGTGTGTGTGTGTGTGTGTGTGCATGTGTTTCTAAAATCTACTCAGTGAATTTTTGCTATACAGTACATTATCAACTACAGTCCTCTTGCTGTACATTAGATCTCTAAATTTGGCTCTGAAAATGGCCATGATGTAGTAAGGAAGAAAGACAATCACTGAATTCACAATTAGGAAACCCACATTTGAGTTATCTTTGGAAGTTCAGTGACTTTGACTAGGTTAACCTTTTTGATTGTCAGCATAGTTATCTAAATGGAAGAGATAATGTTACCAAAGTACCAAAGTACTATGAAGAAAAATGTGTGACAAAAGATATAAATGTTTGTAAACACAACAAAAACTATTAATATTTACTAATTGATCATTATATGCTGAGTGTTTTTTCTGAACTTCTTAATTTTATCTTCACAATATTCTTATAAAAATGTTGGTGGTATAAACATTACCCCATTTCACCGATAGAGTATATGATAAGTCAAATCCCTTACTGGTATTCCCGGCATTTGGGGGTGGATGGAGATTCACAATGAATCTAACTGCAAGCTCAGGGTAACAACAATAGACTGTATATTTGCAGTGTAAGGTATTGTAAAATTATCAGGAGTTACTATACTAGCTTAAGTTTCCAGGGAGAGTTCCCACTTGGCATTTCTCCTTCTCTTGCTATCGTTATTATTTAAATTATGATTTTTAGTTCATTTCATGCAAGTGTTCCTGGGCCATAAGAAGCCAGCAGAGAAAAGTCTGGAGCTTCATCGTTTATATCTGGGTACCTCATCTTTGGCAGTTTTGTACATTTTCTCCTCCATATCTCTATCAATTTCTTTCTTGCTTTTGTGCCGGCAACTGTGGATGTTTCTCTCCTCCTTACTCTCGGTTGATTTTGTCTTTTTATTTCATTTATGATTTCAGAAGCTGTTTTCCATAAGGGAACTTGGAAGTTTCTAAAGAAAAACTAATTTTCTCACAGTATCCCTCATCTCTTGCATGCGCTTGTTCTTGGGAACAGCAGGCTGCTTCACTTTCAGGTTCCAGCTACAGCTTTGTCACAGGGACCCAAGACTCTAAAACGAAAAGCAGCGGCCGGGCGCGGTGGCTCACGCCTGTAATCCCAGCACTTTGGGAGGCCGAGGCGGGTGGATCATGAGGTCAGGAGATCGAGACCATCCTGGCTAACAAGGTGAAACCCCGTCTCTACTAAAAATACAAAAAATTAGCTGGGCGCGGTGGCGGGCGCCTGTAGTCCCAGCTACTCGGGAGGCTGAGGCAGGAGAATGGCGTGAACCCGGGAAGCGGAGCTTGCAGTGAGCCGAGATTGCGCCACTGCAGTCCGCAGTCCGACCTGGGCGACAGAGCGAGACTCCGTCTCAAAAAAAAAAAAAAAAAGAAAAGCAGCATCAAGACTGATCATACCTCCCAAATCAAACCACTACTGCCCATTTTTTTGAAAAATAAAATGTTAACAAACTTTTTCATTAATGTAATAAGGAAGTCCCTTGAGTTTTGTCATTTTTGTCATTTTTACACGAAGTGTCTCATGCAGGCTGAAATCCCACAAAGTGAGCATTTGAAATCAAACTGGTAACGACTTCTTCTCTTGCAAGGCAAGTGTGAGTTGTGGTCATAGCTGGGTCAGATAACGTATCTGAGCTTCTGCCAGTACCAAACATCAGTCTGAGAGAGTTTAGATGTCTCCCAGGGGCAGGGCAGAGAAGAGTTCTGTGAAGAAGTCTGGATTAACATGATGGATATTTTTAGCTCATTGTGAACCAGAGTATGTCGGCATGGCTTCACTCTTTTGTTTAAAGCAGCATTGCATAACACAAAATATTGGTCCCGTTACATATTTTGTGGGAAAGAGACTCTCTCCTGGAGATACACAGTTATAGATTAACAAATAGAAAAAAAACTATAAAAAGCCCTTCTTTAAGGAGTCTATGCAGCTTTTAAACTTTTTTGATCTAAGAACGTATCTTTTCAAACCATATCTTTTAGTACTCTAAAATAATGTATTTGGGGGATTCCAGTTGCTCTCAGTGCCCAGATGTCAGACAACCATATTAAAATATAATTTTTTTATTACTTTTTTCTCAATAAGCTACCCACTGATTTTACATATCTCTACTTCTATTTATGAAAAATTAAATAATACCACAAATAATTATGTACTGCTATATATGTGTATGTATACATATTAAAATTTTATGTGTATTAAAATTTTACATTTATTAAAATAAAATTATATATTAAAATTTTAATACATAATAAAATTGTATATATATTAAAATATATAATAAATTGTATATATTAAAATATATATAATTAAACAATATTACAAATAATTATGTAGTGTTATATATGTGTATGTGTGTATATATATGCACACACATGAAAATACATACACATGAATCTGGAGAGAGAGAATAAAACCTTTCATATCTGTCTAATTTTTAAAAATCTTTCCTCTTTAAATATATACTTATGCTTATTCCCTTTGCACCCTGCCTCTTTGGTTTATAGACGTCAGTAGATTCATTTATTTTCAATAATATGACATTGATTATAGAGACTTTTGAAATAATTTGAATTACAATAAAAGCTAAGTTGCTTTTATTTTTCTGACTTTATACAAGGAGACACCAAAATTATTGGCTCAAATGAGGTACACTTCTTTTCTCTCTCGTGTAACTCTCTAGAACAAATAGATGATCTCTGCTCCATTATGTCATCCAGGAACCCAGGCTAGTGAGGCAGCTCTGCTATGCTCAATTTGGGGCTTCCACTTCTGTTCTAGTCATACCATTTCCAGATAAAGGGAAGGAAAGGGGGTAGAAAATACAGGGCAAGGACTTTGAAGAAGATAATCCAGAAGCTGCGTGTAGCCATACTTATCCTCACATCCCATTAGTGAGAATTTAGTCACATGGCCACACCTAGCTTCAAAGAAAGCCAGAAAATGTAGTTTATGGCTTAGTGACCATACAACTAAGAAGAAAGGGAGAACAGGGTGTCAATGTTAGATCTTTCCTGCTTTCTCTTGTGTGCATTTAGTGCTATAAATTTCCCTCTACACACTGCTTTAAATGTGTTCCAGAGATTCTGGTACATTGTGTCTTTGTTCTCATTGATTTCAAAGAACATCTTTATTTCTGCCTTCATTTCGTTATTTACCCAGTAGTCATTCAGGAGCAGGTTGTTCAGTCTCCATGTAGTTGTGCAGTTTTGAGTGAGATTCTTAATCCTGAGTTCTAATTTGATTGTTCTGTGGTCTGAAAGACTGTTTGTTATGATTTCTGTTCTTTTGCATTTGCTGAGGAGTGTTTTACTTCCAATTATGTGGCCAATTTTAGAATAAGTGCAATGTGGTGCTGAGAAGAATGTATATTCTGTTGATTTGGGGTGGAGAGTTCTGTAAATGTCTATTAGTTCTGCTTGGTCCAGAGCTGAGTTCAAGTCCTGGATATCCTTGTTAATTTTCTGTCTCATTGATCTGTCTAATTTTGACATTGGGGTGTTAAAGTCTCCCATTAATATTGTGGGATAAATTCCTAGACACATACACCCTCTCAAGACTAAACCAGGAAGAAGTCAAATCCCTGAATAGACCCAGTTCTAAAACTGAGGCAGTAATTAATAGCCTACCAACCAAAAAACATCCAGGACCAGACGGATTCACAGCCGACTTCTACCAGAGGTACAAAGAGGAGCTGGTACCATTCCTTCTGAAACTATTCCAAACAATAGAAAAAGAGGGAATCCTCCCTATCTCATTATATGAGGCCAGCGTCATCCTGATACCAAAACCTGGCAGAGATACAACAAAAAAAGAAAATTTCAGGCCAATATCCCTGGTGAACATCAATGCAAAAATCCTCAATAAAATACTGGCAAACTGAATCCAGCAGCAGATCAAAAAGCTTATCCACCATGATCAAGTCAGCTTCATCCCTGGGATGCAAGGCTGGTTCAACGTACACAAATCAATAAACATAATCCATCACATAAACAGAACCAATGACGAAAACCACATGATTTTCTCAATAGATACACAAAAGTCCTTCTACAAAATTCAACAGCCTATCATGCTAAAAACTCTCAATAAACTAGGTATTGATGGAATGTATGTCAAAATAATAAGAGCTATTTATGACAAACCCACAGCCAGTATCATACTGAATGTGCAAAAACTGGAAGCATTCTGTTTGAAAACCGGCACAAGACAAGGATGCCCTCTCTCACCACTCCTATTCAACATAGTATTGGAAGTTCTAGCCAGGGCAATCAGGCAAGAGAAAGAAATAAAGGGTATTCAATTAGGAAAAGAGGAAGTCAAATTATTTCTGTTTGCAGATGACATGACTGTATATTTAGAAAACCCCATTGTCTCAGCCCCAAATCTCCTTCAGATGATAAGCAACTTCAGCAAAGTCTCAGGATACAAAATCAATGTGAAAAAATCACAAGCATTCCTATACACCAATAAAAGATAAACAGAGCCAAATCATGAGTGAACTCCCATGCACAACTTCTACAAAGAGAATAAAATACCTAGGAATCCAACTTAAAAGGGATGTGAAGGACCTCTTCAAGGAGAACTACAAACCACTACTCAAGGAAATAAGAGAGGACACAAACAAATGGAAAAACATTCCATGCTCATGAATAGGAAGAACCAATATAGTGAAAATGGCCATATAGCCCAAAGAAATTTATAGATTCAATGCTATCCCCATCAAGCTACCATTGGCTTTCTTCAAAAAACTGGAAAAAAACTACTTTAAAGTTCATATGGAACCAAAAAAGAGCCTGCATAGCCAAGACAATCCTAAGCAAAAAGAACAAAGCTGGAGGCATCACACTACCTGACTTCAAACTATACTACAAGACTACAGTAACCAAAACAGCATGGTACTGGTACCAAAACAGATATATAGACCAATGGAACAGAACAGAGGCCTCAGAAATAACACCACACATCTACAACTATGTGATCGTTGATGAACCTGACGAAAACAAGCAATGGGGAAAGGATTCCCTATTTAATAAATGGTGTTGGGAAAACCGACTAGCCATGTGCAGAAAGCTGAAACTGGATCCCTTCCTTACACCTTATACAAAAATTAACTCAGGATGGATTAAAGACTTAAATATAAGACCTAAAACCATAAAAACCCTAGAAGAAAACCTAGGCAATACCATTCAGGACATGGAACTGGACAAAGGCTTCATGACTAAAATACCAAAAGCAATGGCAACAAAAGCCAAAATTGACAAATGGGATCTAATTAAACTAAAGAGCTTCTGCACAGCAAAAGAAACTATCATCAGAGTGAATAGCCAACCTACAGAATGGGAGAAAATTTTTGCAATCTATCCATCTGACAAAGGGCTAATATCCAGAATCTGCAAAGAACTTAAACAAATTTACAAGAAAAAAACAAACAACTCCATCAAAAAGTGTGTGAAGGATTTGAACAGACACTTCTCAAAAGACGACATTTATGCAGCCAACAAACATGAAAAAAGCTTATCAATCACTGATCATTAGAGAAATGCAAATCAAAACCATAATGAGATACCATCTCACACCAGTTAGAATGGCGATCATTAAAAAGTCAGGAAGCAACAGATGCTGGAGAGGATGTGGAGAAAAATGAACGCTTTTACACCATTGGTGGGAGTGTAAATTAGTTCAACCATTGTGGAAGACAGTGTGGCGATTCCTCAGGGATCTAGAACTAGAAGTACCATTTGACCCAGCAATCCCATTATTGGGTATATACCCAAAGGATTATAAATCATTCTACTATAAAGGCACATGCACACGTCTGTTTATTGCGGCACTGTTCACAATAGCAAAGACTTGGAACCAACACAAATGCCCATCAATGGTAGACTGGATTAAGAAAATGTGGCACATACACACCATGTGGTGTGGTGGATTCCATGGCTACATGGAATACTATGCAGCCATAAAGAAGGATGAGTTCATGTCCTTTGCAGGGACATGGATGAGGCTGGAAACCATCATTCTCAGCAAACTAACACAAGAACAGAAAACCAAACACCACATGTTCTCACTCATAAGTGGGGGTTGAACAATGAGAACACATGGACACAGGGGTTGGGGCGGGGCATCAAACACCAGAGCCTGTTGGGGGGTCGGGGACTGGAGGAAGGATAGCATTAGGCGAAATACCTAATGTAGATGATGGGTTGATGGATGCAGTAAATCACCATGGCATGTGTATACCTATGTAACAAACCTGCACGTTCTGCACATGTACCCCAGCACTTAAAGTATAAAATAAAAAAGAAAGGGAGAACATAACTAAAAGTGCACAGCAATATGATATCTACTTCAGCCTATCACTCCGGCCTGCCTTTTAACAACCGGCACTCTCCTCTCCAAACATAGACCTTTTACCACAAGGAACACAATACAAGGACCTCTCCGGTTACTGCCTCTATTCCAAAATCTTGAACTCTTAGTGATCTACAATCCTCTTCATCAGGTCTGCAGATACAGCCAGCTTTCAGCTGATGCAGTTTTGAGAGGCTGAAAGGTTTTGTAGCCCAGCCCTGTGGCCTACAGTTCCTTCAAAAACTTAGTAAGTTTCTGATCTTTTGGCACTTGACATGTTTGTGTTCAAGTAACCTCACCCAAATTTCCTTTATGGACACCTGCTAAATTTGGCTTTAGATACCAAAATCAGTATTGATCCTATACCTCCCTCCCTCATTTTAACAGGGATAACCTATGCAAGTTGTTAGTTAGATACAAATATTAGCCTGACTTTCTGGCACAAAGCTGTATCCTTTAGTTTGTCTGAAAGTCTTAATGATAGGGCTTTTATGAAAGGCTCTGGGCAAATAGCCTTATCTCTGCTCTTTGCAATTCAGAAGCACCTGTGTTTTCCCACACTGCTTGCAAACTTTCCAATTCTTGTATGTATTTATCTTTTTCTTGTTATGTTTTTCTAAAACCAGCAAAGAGTAAATAATACACCAGAACATTCTGGCTCTATCTAATTGCCTTCCATAGAGTTACAGTCTCCATAGGCACATCATTTGCTTTCTAAGTTGTCATGGATGATAATTTCACCAAAGAGTTTCTATAGCATAATAAGTATCTCCTGCTTTCCAGCCTGCAGTATCTATTTCTTCACCACCCAGCAGCCACCCACTGGGCCAGTGCCACTTATTTTAGGCTTTTGTCATTTCAGAACACTTCTTCCAACTAACAATTTTTTTATTAATTAAGGTCAAGTAAAACTACTCAAATAAGATATGTGTTTATTTCACCTTCATAAAATACAATATGGGTAGGTAGTCTCTGCTCTATAGCATGATTCAGGTGCCTAGCCAATGGGACATTCTGCCAGCTCATCAGGTATATCTGAGATTGCTACCACTGTTGCCAGGTCCAGCTAGCAGCAAGATGGGAGTGAGTAGAGAAATACTGGGAAACATAATGTCTAGCTGGGTGGTCAGGTGCTCAGAAAGAAAGGAGAAACAGATTTGAAGGAAAAACCTTCAATCTAGGGTACATGATCAAAATCATGATATATACAAAAATAATGTGATATATGATATGATAATAAGTTCAAATGAGTTTCCACAAATCTTACAGTTTAACAGAAAATTAACAAATTCATGTCTGTAACACAGATCATTTGTTCTTTAATGTTACAAACAGTTCAGTGGCTTTTAAAAATGTAGTAATTCAACTTAGAATGAATAACCCATGATATCATGTTCTTGGATACTAATAGAAAAGGGAAAACAGTAACAGCTTAATGAATCTCAAAAAAATATCAGTAACCTTATTCAATTATGAAAGAACTTCTTATATTATAATCATAAAACAAAAAAGAACAGGAAAATGAGATATTTTGGCATAACTTCAGAAAACAATGGCCTGGATGTTTATCATATGACCCAGTAATAGAACTTTGTAATGCTTTTGACTAATATGACTTGAAATAATTAATCAAAGATACAAAATTCAAATATGTATTATTAGCTTCCCAAAGCTTTCAGATTTATGGAGTTAAAAGCAATGGAAAGTCTTTGCTAAGATTGTTGGGACTAAAAAATCCCATTTTACTGAATCAAAATTAAAACTTAAAGGAGGATTTATTTTAGGTAGTTCATTTAATTGTTATTACCTGCATCTTTATATATATTTTCTTCCTTCTCCTATCATCCTTCAAGTGACCAATTTTTCTAGTTTGGTTGAGTTTTCTTTCACCAAAGGAATCTTTTTTAAAAATTAAATTAATTTAATTTTAGTAAGAACAGTTAAAATGAGATCTACTCTAAAATTTTAAGTGCACAATACAGTATAATTAACTATAGGGACAATGTTGCATAGCAAATCTCTAGAACGTGTTCATCTTGCATAATTGTGCCTGTATGCCTGTTGATAAGCGACTCTCCATTTCCCTCTCATTTCAGGCTTGACAACCACAATTCTGCTCTCTGACTCTGAGTTTGACTATTTTAAACACTTCATGTACATGGAATCATGCAGTGTTTATCTTTCTGTTCCTGGTTTATTTCACTTAGCATACTGTCCTCAAGATTCATCCATTTTGTCACATATAACAAGATTTCCTTATTTTTAATGCTGAATTATATCCCAATGTGTATATATTCCACATTTTATTTATCAGTTCATCTGTTGATAAACATTTACGTTGTTTCCACATCTTGGCTAATATGAATAGTGTTTTAATGAACATGGGAGTGGTACTATCAACTCAAGATCCTGATTTCAATTCTATTGAATGAATATCCAGAAGTGGAATTGCTGGATCATATGATAGTTCTATTTTTATTTTTTTTCAGGAATCTTCATACTGTCTTCCAAAGCAACTCCATCACTTTGCATTCCCACCAATAGTGTACAAGAATTCCAATCTCTTCCCATCTTTGCCAACACTTAATACTTTGAAGTACCATTTGACCCAGCAATTGTTGTTGTTGTTGTTAATAGCAATCCTAAGAGGTATGAGGTGATATCTCATTGTAGTTCGATTTACATTTCCCTGGTGATTAGTGATGTTCAGCTTCTTTATGTCTACACCTGTTGATCATTTCTATGTCAGCTTTAGGAGAAGTATCTATTCAGTTTCTTTGCCCTTTTCCAAATTGGATTATTCTTTTTTTTTCTTTTTTTTTGCGGGGGGGTGGGGGGGCTGCTGAGTTAAAGGAATTTCTTTTATATTTTGGAAGTTAACCCCGTACCTGATATATGGTTTGGAAATCTTTTTCCCTTTGTGTAGGTTGCCTTTTTACTCTGTTGATTTTTCTTTTGCTATGCAGAAGCTTTTTAGTTTGTTGTACAAACCAATGGAACAGAATAGAGAGCCCCCTATCGTCTCATGCATATATGGCCAACTGATCTTTGAGAGAGGCACCAAGAATACACACTGGGGAAAGGATAGTCTCTTCAACAGACAGTGTTGGGAAATCTGAATATCTACATGCAAAAAAAATAAAAACAGATGCTTATCTTCCACATACAGAAAAATCAACTCAAAACATATTAAAAACTTAGACATTGATCTGAAACTGTAGAGCTCCTGCAAGAAAACATACTGAAAAATCTTCATGACTTAGTCTTGGCAATGAATGTGGCACCAAAAGCATGGGCAACATAGACAAGTGGCATCGCCAAAGCAATCTTAAGCTCCGCTTCTTCCTCCGTGTTCACCACCTTCAGTCTCTTCCTCTCCCAGTGTCCTCCCTATCCGCGAACTCCAGCTACCACTACAGTAGCTTTCTTCTCCCAAATTACAGCCAAAGTTCCTGAAAGACACATTTTTATTCCCTGTGTTTAATTCTTCACTTTCTCTTTTCCCATCAGCTTTCTAAAATTTGTCCTCCAGCCATAGCACTTCCTGAAGGTGCTCTCACAAGGTCATTAAATATTTCTACTTCCTTAAGTTCTGTGCATATGTCTTCTGTTTTCATTTTACTCTATCTTTTAGTATCTTTTAGCATGTATGACCTATGATCTACTCATTGGTTACTGTGACACTTCATTTTCCCTCTTTTCCTCCCTTCTTTCTGGTCACTTCTCTGTTTCTTTTGCCGGCTCATCTTTACCTAGTTTAGATGTTGATATTCCTTATGACTCAGTTCCTGGCCATCCTAAAATCTCATGCAGCACATTCTCTTCAGGCAATCCCATCCTTTCTCATTATTTCAATTTCTTCTTGTACCTTAATGGGTAGCAAATGTATACATCAGGCTCAACCTTCTCTTCTGAGCTTCAGGGGTTAGTATCCATCTGCCCACATGATATCTTCTCAAGGGTGTTACTATGATACTTCCAACTCGGTATGCCTCGCCAATACGGTCCGCTCACCTAAGTTTTTTCTCTTGCAGTGTTCCTCACCTCAGTAAATGACATCCCCCTTCACCAAGTGGCTCGCTTCAAAAAACTACACATCAGCTTTGCAGAGGCATGCCTTGGATATTTGGCACCTGAGTAACATCCCCCCATCGATACAACAAAATTGTTTTCAGTAATAATCATGAAAAAAATGAGTAATAACAATGATTACAACAGAAACTCAGAAAGAGAAAAATAAAACATTTTAATTAAATGTTGTGGTCATGCTAGAAATTAAATAATTCATATATACATGATTTTTAAAAGTATATAGTAAAAGGGAAAAAGGTAATTGTTTCATATTTTAAGGAACTTAATGTACCTTTTAAAATACTGAAAACACTGCACCTACATATTAGTTGTTGCAATAATTAATAATAATATACTTTCTGTTTCTGAGCCTTATATCCTACAAATTTGTTGGAACTTAAATTGCTCTTCACATATTCATGTTTAATAGAGAGCACAACAGATTTGTCCATTTTTCTTCACTCGTTGTTGATTGAATATCTTTTTAAATCAATTTTAATTTTCAAATTTTTTTAATGTAATGTAACCAATATACAAAGTTGAGAAAAGTCTTAAAGGACAGATTAGGCAGGAGATTCATAAATATTACATGTCACACGAAAAATCCAGGAATTGCAATTCTGCTCATGTAATTGTTTCTTCGGAATCTATTCTAGCAGGTTTCAATTGTCCCACAGTCAAAAAATTTTAAACATAAATAAAAACTTAAAATGATCACTGAGAGTGACAGAATTTAAATAATTCAAGTTCTTTTTCTTCATCGTTACAATCACTGTGCTGTCATTCTTTATGTCACATGTATTGCTTAAATTTAGGCATGTATAGTACAAGTGAGTTGGAAATACAAAATGTGCCCAAAATGAGCTGAAATGATTCTGCACCTTTAGGCATTTACTACTCAAATGAACTCATGTGCCTGACTTCGTGTGCATGAGGTATGGAGAGCAGCAGTCTAACTGAGAATTCCAAATTAACTTCCTTTTACATAGACAGTAAAAGACAAATTATAAACATGTTAATTTCAAATTATATATATATATATAATGTTATTCATATCCTGATTATGGTAATGATTGCCTAATATATATAATATATATATAATTGCCTGAGATATATATATATATATATATACACACACACACAAAAAAAATCTTTAAATTCCTCTGGTTACTGTTGAGTTTTATATATATATATATATATATATATATATATATAGTAAATATATCATATATATAAATAACCACAGTGTATTAGTCCATTTTGACACTGCTATAAAGAACTTTCCTGAGACTGGGTAATTTATAAAGTAAAGAGGTTTAATTGACTCACAGTTCTGCATGGCTGGGGAGGCCTCAGGAAACTTACAATCATGGCAGAAGGAGGAGCAGGCACGTCTTACCTAGCAACAGGTGAGAGAGAGAGAGAGAGAGAGAGAGACCAAGTAAAGGGGGAAGAGCCTCTTATAAAACCATCAGATCTCATGAGAACTCATTCACTATCATGAGAACTCATTCACTATCACGAGAACAGGATGGGGGAAACTGCCTCTATGATCCAATCACCTCCTTCTCATGACAAGTGGGGATTACAGGTCCCTCCCTCGACATGAGGGGATTACAATTTGACATGAGATTTGGGTGGGGACACAGAGCCAAACCATATCTATCACCCAGTAACTTCCCTTCATATATATATAAAATATATGCATCATAATATATATAGATATATATAGTGCGCACGCGTGTGTGTGTGTGTGTGTAAAATTAACACTAACCACAGGAATTGCTAGAACTCAGACCAATAAAATATTTTTCTGGAAGAAATGTCTTATCACTGACATTGATTTTTGGTGTGATGGAGCTATTCGTATCCTCATTATGGTAATGATTGCCTGAATCTACACAGGTCTAAAATTTCATAGTACTACATATGAAATAAATATCTATATCTCTCTGTATATATCTATATATGTGTGTGCACATTTATATACATGTATATAGTAAAATGATACTTAAAATGAGTGAATTTTATTATACATAAAGATCTCAGAATTATTATTATTATTATTATTATTATTATTATTATTATTATTATTATTATTTTGAGATGGAGTCTTTCTCTGTCGCCCAGGCTGGAGTGCAATGGCACGATCTCGGCTCACTGCAACCTCCGCTTCCTGGGTTCAAGCGATTCTCCTGCCTCGGCCTCCTGAGCAGCTGGGATTACCGGTGCATGCCACCACACTTGTCTAATTTTTGTATTTTTAGTAGAGATGGGATTTTAACATGTTGGTCAGGCTTTTCTTGAACTCCTGACCTTGTGATCCACCCTCCTCGGCCTCCCAAAGTGCTGGGATTACAGGCATGAGTCACCACGCCCAGCCAGAATTTTTAATTAAAAATTTTCCCAGAGCATAGTGATGATGAAAATCAGACACCTTAGTGGGTTTATTGTTGTTTTTAAGTATTCTACAGTCAATATTCCTCCTTTGTTGCCTAAACCCAGGGCAGATGGTTCCCAGCTCCCTTGGTATAACTGGATACTTTACATGTCTTACCCTTACTTCTGATGTTCAAATGTCCCTAAAGACAACTACATCTAATAGTCTCAGTATTTTTCAATTTTACCTTTTATCTCCATTTCCCCTTCCAGCTTTATTCACTATCATACCCTGCAAGGACTTATGCATACATTTTTATATATGGAAATCTCTCAGCATCCATTCATGCCACTCTAATCTATTCTACACAAATTATCCTTAGTAATCTTTGTAAAAAGCAGAATTGACTATGGCATACCCCTTCTTAAAATATTTCAATAATTTTGCAATTATCCTTAAAGTTAAAATCCTATCCAGGACCTCAATGTCCTATATGAGTAGGTTCCTCTCTGCTCTTTCTTTTTTACCCCAGACCACTCTTGCCCTTGTTCTCTGAGCAACGGCCACAAGTGACTGTGGGGAATAATTTTCTTCCTGTCCCTCCCTCTTCACTGCATTCCTCACTACGCCTACCTCCAGCAGCCAGATCAGCATAACATGACCTTGGCTGGACTAATTAGAAGTTCTCATGAGGAACTATAAATCTTGTCCAGGTAGCCTAAAGAAGAGAAATAGTGAACTTAGATTATCAGCAGCAATACTGGTCTAACAACAACTCTAGTTTTGTCCAGCGGAGAGAAAACAGTACAATGAGAGTAGCTTTGATTCCTGGGCAATTAAATATAGTTATAAAGTAGGCCAACATCCCACACCTTTTAAGTTTTTAAGAATGGCACTAAACTCTCTCAATCTATCTGGGAGTTGCTATTGTTCTTTCTCTGCTTCTTTGGATGGTACATGAGTATCAGATGGAGCGGGAAGTTTCTGTCCTTAACTTAACCTTTCCAATAATAAGTGTTCTTACTCTGAAGGTCAAGGAACTCTGGTGAGATTTCTGCCAACTTCTGAGAAAAATAACCAATAGGTGGGTCTGTGGACACACTGGACCCATTGTGAGTCAGAACTGTGCCAGAACTCCATTTATCACCTGACATCCTTATGTCTTTATTCTAACAGAAGCATGGTGACTGTGCTATGGAGCACTTAGTATCAGTGTCAGCTCAGATCTAATATCCAATAGCTTTCAAAAATCAGGGAATTTCCTTTCCCAGTGTACAGCTAAGCATGTAAATGGCCAACGTCACTTCAGGAAAGAACAGAAGGAATTAGTACTGTATACATTTGCTGTGCATTCCTCAGGGAAACCTGTCCTCTCCTTCAATTAGTGGACTTGGATTCTGAGAGCTAGGTCAGATCTGTTTGTTGTTGTTGTTGTTGTCTGGTCATCATCTTGCCTCTAAAAACCATATGGTCTATTTATTAATGTTTTCCACAGATCCCTGCAGGCCAGGGCTTCTGGTTACAGTTCTGACCTTGATGTCCATTACAATAATTTATTCCACCTTGTCTCTCACGGTTCATTGCTGCCCCTGGCAATGGCCTCTACAATTTCAGGATTTTATAATCCTTATTAACTCTAGGGAACATCGAGTCAGGCTGGAGTTACAGAAAACAGCACTACTGAACTTACTGGAGTTGACCCCTCACCAGCACGTTTCTTGTTGCCTTAGTGGAGGCCATATCCTCTGGGTTTATCCAAGGAGTGTATCCATCTCATGTGTTCCTCAGTCCAATACAATAAATCCATTTCAGCATGTGCATGTCTTCTAATATTTTGATACCTTCCTTAATATCTGCCTAGGCAGTTATTGCACCTCCACTTTATTTAATGTGGGCCACAGTTTTTCCCAAGTTTGACCAGTGTATTAAGACAGGTCTTGGTACCCTTGCCAGAATTAAATTCTGAATCATGGTAGAGTCGTATTTCTCAAATATTAGGGTGCATTATAGTCATATGGAGAGATTGTTAAAATAAAAGTTGCTGGGACCCATCTCCAGAGTTTCTGATCCAGTAGGTTTTGGTGGGCCCTAAGAATCTGCATTTCTAACAACTTCTCAGGGGATGCTGATCCTGCTTATATGGAAATAAATTCAGAAGCACTGGGTAGTGTGACACCCTATCTGTAAAATCTTCCTTTTGTAACCTTATGCTGTCTAGCACTCCAGCCAGTACCCATGAGATCTATTCCAAGGCTTGTTCTCCCAGTTTCTGGCAATATATAGTAAAATGATAGTGCAGGTCCTTCAGTGAATAATCCCTCTCTCCCTTAGCAGGGCTAGTAATTCCCCTATCAAACCATACTTAACTTGATCCTAGTGATTGATCTAGTGGCCAGGAGGGCAGATAGGGGCTAATCTTGAAGAGGAAAGGTATTGTCTTCCAAGATATCTGCCTTCACCAAAACAAGGGAATTATCAGTAAAGGAAATGGGAACAAAATGAATTAGTGAGAAAAGGCAACATAAGATTTGAAAAGAGAGGATAAAGGAAATGGGTTCTGTGTCTGACTGCCAGAATAATTCAATCATGTCTAAAAAGGGCTTGGATGACTTAGTAATGAAGCAGGCAACCTTGGGGCTAGTCTTTAGGCAGGGGTAGGGATTACTATTTTCTGGCAAAAATAAGAGAACTACATCTACAGGGCCATAGAGTTCAGTGAAATCAGAAAATATCTTATTCTTGAGCAATTAGATATCAGGATCAAGAAAATAACTAAGTATACGATGATTCCAAATTTTCTGCTTTGTGTGACTGAACAGACAATGAAGTGAAAAGAAGACAATGGCAGAGATTGGGAGTGAACACGACAAGTTGAGTTTTGCACCTGAGGTGCACCAACAGGAAGATGTGTAATAAATAGTAAGATAAATGAGACTTGAGCTGAGCAAGAAATATGTTTAGGAGATACAGAGTTGGAATAGGTATATCCTATATGGTTGAAGTCATGGGAGTGAAGGACATCACCCAGAGATGATTGATTGATGGATGGATAGATAGATAGATAGATAGATAGATAGATAGATAGATAGATAGATAGACAGACAGACAGACAGACAGACAGACAGACAGATAGATAGATAGATAGATAGATAGACAGACAGACAGACAGACAGACAGACAGATAGGGATCAACAGATAAAAGGAGGAAGGCAGGATAAAAGTTGGGGACAGAACCTCAAGCAAAATACCCAGGACCAAGATGGATAAGTCCACAAAGGACAACCTTGTAGATCAGAGCAAAAACATGGAATAGCTAGGGGAGAGTTTGCGGAAAAGATTCTAGTCATTAATGGTAAACGCTGAAGAAAGGTCAAAGAAGACACGCACTGCAAAAAGTTGCTGGATATTAAAAAATATGATATTTTGATTTAAAACATTATGATATTTTGATTAAATTTACTAACACTGTTTCATAAAGTCTGAGTCTTTGGGAAGAGTGATGTTGAAGTCTGACTCCAGGGAGTAGGTGGAGCCATGCGAGGTGTAGACTGTGTGTTTGTTTGCTTTCTGGTTTTTCTGAGATGATTGGTTGCTAAGGAAGCTGCAGGGAAATGAGAATATTGGGAGAATATCTTTTATTGTGAAGTCAGACTTCAGAGGAAAAGAATCTCAATGGATGAAGTAGGTGGTGAGAGTTGAAAAAACAGACAGACCCCTTAGAGTCTACAGAGGAGAAATAAAAAGGAGAAACTGGGAAGCCATTGGAGCATTAGAAGTGGTCCCAGGAGCTCAGCAATAAAGTCTCAAGAAATTCCCAATAATTCTTCAACATAAAAAGAAGAAAACACTGTAAAGATTACAAGAAATATGTAAAAATAATACATAAGTTTTATCTTAATACTTAATACTATATAAAAATTTCAACTTATTATAAAATACCAGTGATAACTTCCCTTTGAAAAATGCCAAATATAAAACTACACTGAATTTTCAGGGAACTGTAGTGGCCTAAATTTCATTGCTTGTGTGTCTGTGGCCTTCTATTAATATATGACCTGAAAGCAACTTACTTGGATCCTATGAGACTAGCCTTGTACAGAAACCTCTTTACTGAACATTTTTTAATATTATACCCTCCTCATTTTGTCAAGAGCCAATTAAAAAAACATACAAACTTACTTTAGCATAATCTGTAAAAATCATCCTTGAATAGAGCATACACCATGTCCTTACAAAAAAAATTACATTCTAATACTTATTTCTAACAGAAGTGTTTCTCTGTCTAAAGACATTGTGTCTCATTTCATCAGACAATTAAAATAGTGTAACTCTTCTTGTTCTTTTTGTTGTAATTCCAAGTAGCTCACCATTAATTTGTGCCTGACATATCATTTCTCCTTCTTACAGTTTTTGCCTATTTCAATAGTCTTATTTTAAAATTATCTTTCATTGTGAACTCTTTCAAACACCTCAGAAGTATAGACAATAAACATAATATGTACATAAAGACATTAAGGTTAGATGTAGTGTTAAATTTGAGTCAGAAACAGGATGGCCTATCCCCAGTCCAGAAGACTTGGATAAAGCACCATTTGAAGAAGCTTGTTAGGTTATTTAGATACAAAGTGTGGAACTGCAACAGAAATGAATACCAGTCTATTATCAACAGGGTAAGATAGAGTCACCAAAATATTAGATTTATATTTTGGAATGCTTTTTCCCGGTTCTTAGGAATTCCCAACAGATGTGAATGCGATGAATATACACATTCACTCCTCAGTGACTGAAGAACCTACAGAAATCCATACAGGTCTTTTATCTACAGAAAGAAAGTAAAATAAAGGAAAATTAAAAACTGCTCCAATACAATGTGAATTCGGATATGGATAGAGACCTCAGTTCATGACAATTTCTTCTTCAGGGCAATAGTGTAACGTCCATTTTCCTTACATATGTCCAGAGATTTCAGAGAAAGGACATGTCTCCTACTGTTTTAAAAATAATTTCAAGGACTTTAGATGGTAGAGAGAGAGAAACTAATTGTATAAAGATAAAGCCTCTAGAGAGTTTTTGTTGATATTGCCTTCATGGAAGAGAAGTTTAAGACACAGTGATTATTAAAACAGGAAAACTCATCCATGCGCTCATTAAAGTAGATAACAAAATGATTTTGCTTAGAGCAACAAATGTGAAATTTCTTAATTTTCTTCCTAAACCATGTGACTCTTTAGCAGCTTAGATAAAAGAAGCAGTTAGAACAGATGAGCATTGGATCTCCCGTTAATGCAAAATAAATTGAATTCTAGAGAATCTTGGTTCTTTCAAGTTGGCTGAGGGTGCCACAGTTCAATACAAAAACCATTATGCTTACTTACCATGCTACAAAGTCCTCCAAATCACTTATAAGGGTGAGTCTGAACGAATGGCCCCAAGCTTGCCTGCTTCATTCCCAATAACTCCAAGCCTTTCTCAGGCATGATTAAATTTTCCTGGCAGTCATATGCAGCATGCTTCTCCTCTCTCCTGTCTTTTCAAATCTTATAGTTGCCTTTTCTTGCTGACTACCTTTCTTCCCTTTTTCCTTTATCAGCAACACCCTTCATTCTGGTCATCAACATTCACATTCCCACCATGCTTGGCACACACCCTGGGGCTGAGATACCCTACAACCAATAGTGGGTCTCTTGGGGAAGACTTAGCAATAAATCACAGTGGCCCCCCAGTGCATCCCTCTAACTTCTCCTTACTTCATACCTGGCAAACTCTCCATCAGAATGATTTGAGATTTTATTCTATCCTGAGCACTCATAACTATGTAACTGTAGGACAGGCTCTCTGTGCCAGTGCCAGGATAGTGGACGTGCCTGGGATGCTTTCATTTCCATTTACTCAAGCTAAGCAACTAGAGTGATACCAAAAGCAAGCCAAATACAAGATGGCCCAAAAAACATCTAACTTTAGTTTTGGAGATTGTAATACAGTTTCTTTTATCATCAACCAAAATATCATTATTTAAAAATATGAATTAAACTTATTTTATAGTCGTTAAGGGGATGTCAAATGGGATAGCACCACTGATTAGAAGATAGTCCACTTTGGATATTGGCCATCAAAGATCTTCGAAATATGATAGACCTGGTATGCCAGATGATCCGGACTAACCTGGCACTACTGTTCCTACTTATGGCTGGGAATTTTGTTTCCCTGAACCCCTCTTCTTTGTGGTTTGGATTAAAGCTGGTCAATGAGATTAACTCACATGAGACTTAAGAGTGATCAACTAGGCCGAGCGCAATGGTTCATGCCAGTAATTCCAGCACTTTGGGAGGCCGAGGAGGGCGGATCACCTGAGCTCAGGAGTTTGAGACCAGCCTGGCCAACATGGTAAAACCCCGTCTCTACTAAAAAAACAAAAAATTAGCTGGGCGTGGTGGCAGGCACCTGTAATCCCAGCTACTCAGGAGTCTGAGGCAGGAGAATTGCTTGAACCCAGGAGGCGGAGGTCCCACCATTGCACTCCAGCATTGGCAACAAGAGCGAAACTCCATCTCAAAAAAAAAAAAAAAAAAAAAAAAAAAAGAGTGATACATTGCCCTGGTTTGCTCAGGATGGAAGTGTTGCCTGACATACAGGAATTTCAGTGCTAAAATGGAAAGTTTTGATCAACTCAGGATGGATTTGCTAGATTTGGGAAATGGAAGTGATGTCACTTATTCTTCTTGGAAGGTCATGAGGATCAGACAGAGTGATGAAGAGGAACAGGGGTGTCCAGCAGCCCCTCTAGTCCCCACTGCCCTCCTGCACTGACTCCAGGTTGTCTACCCAACCCCTGGCCTTGCTAACCAATAGGAGCCACAAGCCCAACACCAGATGCTTGGCTGCAAACTCTCAGAGGCAGCATTCCCATGGATGCAGGCATAGCCATAGAGTCAGCAGTTTCCACAGTGCTACACTGTAGACTGCACATGCTTTACTTTTGTGGACATCCACAGGCAGAAGTGTATGGCATTTGATGTATTCTTGCAATCTCTGCCTTGCCCAACTGCACCAGCACTTTAGACAGTATTAGTTACAAATTGGCCCTCTGACCCTCAACTTCTCTTCCCTCCCTTCCTAGCCCCACTACTTTTGTCTAAGCTTTAACTCCTGTATTAAATCCCTACAGTTGTTGGTGGTGGCTCAGTTTTCCTGGCACCTCTGACTGACACACATTTGTACTGAGTAATCATGATATGCTACCAAAGACCAGTACTGAGGAATCAGAAGCATATGCCAGGAGCCTAATGGACACACTCGGCAAAAGAAACCAGGGACTCAACTGAAATGCTCTTTTTTCCTCAAAGAAGTTAATCGCATTATCCTCTTTTCCCACCTCTCCCCCAATCTTTAGTTTTTCTTTTCTATAAACACTCATTCCTTTTCTTTTTAGCATCTGTTGCAAGTTTTGATTTTAAATTGATGTGTGTGATTATTAGCTGAATGCCTGCTCTTCCTTGCCATCCTACTGAAAGTTGGAATCACCTTTATGCTGTTCAACATCACAAGCACTGTCTACTTAGAGACTACAGGATGCCTGGCATGCAGTAGGTGCACAATAAAGCACAATGAATATGTTTGAGTGAGTAAATGTGAGGAAATGGGGTCTGGAACCTACAATCCTCTTAAAGGAACACACATTTGCAGATTTGTTTTTCAAGTATTAACCACAATGCTCCTCTTTAAAGAAGAAAATAACAATGTATCCTGCTCTAAACATTGAGAGCCTTTTTGCATTCCATCAGTAACATAACCCATGACCAGGTAAATACTTGTCTTCTTTATTTCCCCCAACAAAGAGAATCAATTACAAACTTCTCTGTTAATCCCCTAAGTACAATGTGAAGTCCATTAAAGACTCAAAAGCTAGTAACCGTGGGATAGAGAATAATGTTTATACTATTAAATGAATAATGGCTCCACATTGTCTCAAAGAGGAGAATTTTCCTGGGTTGCATTTGGTTTGCTAGTTGGTTTTAAATCATTTAATGGGTCAGGAAGATGCTATGCTTGGTATGAATACTAATGTTCCAACAAGACTACTGAGGAGCAGCATGCTTCAGGAAAAGTTAGTAAGAATTTCTCTCTGTCACTCTGGGATTGTGCTTTCCATGAAGTTTTGGAAGTCATCGTAAAACTGTACTGTTAATGTGTGCAAAGTGAATTCAAAGGGCTGTTGATTTCCCAGTGAATTGGGTGTTGGGTAAAGGAGGCAGCCTAGCCAAAACTTCTCTCTGCTCTAGGTTGGAAAGGGCAAGTCTTGAGTCCAAGCCTTTTCTAAGACAAGTTTCTATTTCACTTTCAGAACCAGTCCATTTCAGAGATCATTCATGTATTTTTAGGACTAAAGTTGATAATTACCTTCAGAGTGTTAGCCAGAATCAGAGTATTCTCACTATGTGCAGGGACCTGTACATCCACCTTGTCTCCCAGACATCTTCTCTTTCATCATCTGAAGTTCTGGAAAAGGCAGGTGGAACTTAGAATGATGACAGAGATTCTACAAGAGTTTCAATGAGCAAATCAAACTCAGTAGCTACCAAACTTTCTTTCCCGAGGCAGAGAAGTTGACAAATAGTACGTTTTCCCCCAGAAAGTTACTCACACCTCATGGCGAGTGGGCCTATGAATGGAGTGGTCGAGGAAAGCTGACCCACTAAGAGGCCATGTAAACCCCACATTCATTTCACAGATGAGAAAATGAAGTCACAAGCCAAGAAAAGACCGGCTACCAAATTTTCTAAAAAGTAAAAATAATGCAGTGCCTCCTGTTGTTATCTTTACTTCTACTGGCAAAAGGAAAGCTGCTTAGAGTGAGCCACAAGTGACATGGTGATACGGAGGCACTGAAGACACAAACAGCGCAGTGGGAGGTGACTGGGCAGGGTTTAGTTTGTTTGTTTTATGGCTACAGGCACCTGGGCACTCTTCCTAGACTGTGTCAGTCCTGGTCACATCTGCCTCACATAGCAGCAACCAGGATGGGGCCAGATACTCTCCCTGGGCCTACTCCCAGCACCTTAGGTTCAGACCCATTACCTTACTTCAGCCAATGAGATGCTCCTGCCTGGGATTTTGGATATTAAAGGGGTAAGGGGAAAAATGCAGGGACATGTAAGAAATCCAGTAGGAAAGCAGAGTGGTGCCAGGACTGTGAGCCTACTGGGAAGAATCCAAGGTCCAATGGTAGCGGCACTGAGTTGACAGGTCAGCCTCCTAGCCAGACCATCCCAAGGCATGGCTTGTTTCAAACTGGGATACGCTTCAGTCCACCCTTCCAAATGCCTCACCATTCTCAGTTCCTGCTCTTTTCCCAAACCTGGCTTTCCAGTATTCTTGGGATTCAGAGATAATAAATCCCTCTTGTGTTTGATTTTGCCAGAGCGAATGTGTGACTTCACAGTCTGGCAGTGGCAGTTATGGTGAGACAGAAAAATATAATTCTAGGCAAGATAAATGGAGTCTAGTGCTTGCTTAACTGCTCAACGGCTATGTGGCCTTGGGCAAGTCAGTCCCCTCCACTGGAACTCAACTTCCTTATTCTAACATAAAAGCACACTGGAATAGATGGTTCCTATCACTATTACAGTATTATTGCCAACTTATATTTAGCACAATGTTATTGATGGCCAAAATAATGTCCCTTCAAATCTTAATACCTCCAAGGAATTAATTCAATTTAACAAATTTATCGATCACAGATTTTGTGCTAGGCACCAGGCTACAGGCTAGAGATAGAGCAACAAATCAGTCAGTCATGGTTTCTGCCCTCTTGGGGCTTAAAAGGAAGACACAGCAATTGCCAGTCAATTATTGGGAAGTAGAGTAAGAATTATGTTATAACAAGGACAGGATGTCCTCAGACAGTACTGAATGGGGCCCTAACAAAGACTTTGGAAAACAGAAGGTTTTTCCCAGAAATTGTGACTTCTAAACTTTCTGGAAAGAAAGAATGAGTTAGAGATGCTGAAGGGTGCATTAGACAGAGGAGACAAATTCTTCCAAAATCAAGGGACAGCATACATCAAAGGCCAGAGGGAACTGAGAAAAGGTCAACATTGCTGGAATGAAGAGGTGATTATGTCAAAGAGATATACAAGTGCCAGGTCAGACTGCACCAGGCAGACAAGATTTGGGTTTTATCCTACAAATAAGAAAAACACATTAAAGATTCAATATTCATTCATTCATTCATTTTATCAAGGCAAAAATGTAAACAAATGTGTTTTAGAGAGATTTTTCAGCAGCAACACTTGAGTGAAAACATATTTTCAGAGTTAACCAGAAAAATTTAATTAAATGCCCCATTCCTTGAGCCTATGACTTCCTGAAGTTTCTCTAAGAATCCAGGTTGAATGTGGTCCCGGGGCAGCACACATCTGGCCCTCAGTGCTTAGCTTCTCCGTGGACCAGAAGCTACCTTTCTACTCACCTAACTCACACTTGTGTTATTTGATGCAGATCCTTAAAAATGGCTCATGGATTACAGAGGCATGAAACTGGTATGGAAACCCATAGAAACAAATGAATTTTAACACATGATCCCCTCACTCCCCTATGGCCTCTTTTATTTCCAGAGTGCATGCTTCTTAACAAACATCCATTCACCCTGTGGTCCTCAGAGAAGGTGGCAAAGAAGAGGCAGTTTTGATGAGTTAATTTTGCCCATTTGCCCCACAATATTCTCTCTGGAGGGATGTGGAAACCCTAAATCATCTTGAAGAGTGCATGAACTTTATTTTCTTAATCAAGCCCCATGTTATTAAGTTTTCTCATTATTCACTGAGTTTTTTCCATTGGCCAAGTCTGTGCCAATCCCTCAAAACATCTGAAACTCAGAACCACACGTGAATGATCTGATCTTTGCCTAGCACCATAGCACAGCCACCTCCCTTGCCCTGGAATGCCCTTTTAGCAACATAGCTGGTTTCCCCTGGCATTTTTGACATTCACATCGCACTGTGGACTCCCACTGAGCCTGCTGTCAATGAAATCTCTAAGGCTTTTCCCCATGTATTGCAGTTTAGCCATTTCTCCCCCATCTCATGTACAATTTGACTTTTGAACCCAAGTGCAGGACCCTCCATTTACCCCTATTAAGTTTCACCTTGTTAGATTCAGGCTATTGTTCCAGCCTGTCAAAATCATTTTAGATCTCAGCCCTGTCAGCTGTCTCCCTCCTTGCTTTATGCCATCTGCAAATTTGATCAGCATGCTTTCCATGTTTTCATCTAAGTCATCTATGGAAAGGTTGGGTAGCACCGAGGCAAGGACATGGCCTTCTAGGTCACTGGAGATTGCTCTCCAGGTTGCCAGTTATCCATCAATCAACAGTCACTGAGTACTGTCTTTCATCCAGGTTCCAGTACACTGAGTTACATTATCATCCAGCCACATTTCTCCATTGAGTCCACATCAATATCAGGGGTATTCTGTCAAACATTTTGCTGATATTCAAATACAGTATACTAGAGTATCTCTTTATTTAATGCTATAGGGAGACTCTGGGTGAAGAAAATCTAAGTGCAGCCTGCACACATTGATAAATATGGTTTGTGTAGAGCAGGATTTATACAAAAGTGGAGTGACAGATATAGCTCTGTCATCATTTAAGGCATGTGAGCTCCTTAGAGCCAGAAATGTTTGGTGGTTTTGTTCACAGCTACTTTTCCAGCACTCCAAACAGTGCTTCATTACAGTAGACACTCAAGTATTTATTAAATGACTTAATGAATGAATATAGTTCAAGATTAGCTGGAAGCTAACCAGTTCATAAAGCAAAATATTTGTGTATTTCTAAATGGAGGAATGATAAAATAGGATGCTGCCACTTACACCAAGGGTTGGCAAACTACAGCCTAAGGACCAAATCAGGACTAATGCCTGATTTTGTAAATAAAGCTTTATTGGAATACAACCATGTTCATTTGCTTACATATTATCTGTGGCTGTTCTCACGCTATCATGTCACAGTTGATTATCTGTGACAGAGGCTGTGTGGTCCACAAAGCTGGAAATATTTACTATCTGGCTTTTCTATAGAAGAAGCTTGCCAACCTCTGAACTAGGAAATTAAGTTCAAATTAAGACTTTCCATGAACTAATATGTTTGTAATTTTCTTACTGATCAACATTTTTTTAAAAATTCCCAAATGTATCACGCCTTTTATTTTCTCTATGCCTTTTCTCTCTGTTGGATACAACCAGTGTCCTGTCTCCACTCCAGGTCTTTTCAACATTGCAAACATACACACCTAAGAACTATATGCAAAATAAACATAGTTATGTAGCAAACCATTGCTGAATGTCTGCTATAGGTTGAACATAATATTATGCACTTTTTATCTTATGTCTTCACTATAGGCTTTCAAAGTAGATATTATTGTCCCATTTTTTTTTTCTATTGAGGAAACAGGAATTAAGCAACTTATCCAATAGTTCACAGAAAACAAAGGCTTTGACTGAGGTTTGAGCTAAGATTTGTCAGATCTGCTTGTAATTTGGTTTGGTTTTACTCATTGCATGTTCAGAAATAAGCCAGTTTACAAAGGGGGAAATGGGACATGTCCAATTTCATAGAAATCTTGATTTGAGGTTTAAAATATAATCAAATCATTTTTAAAATCTTCTATCGATGTTTAAATCAGCCAAAGGCAATTTTATTGTGAAAAGCCGTTAACTGGCATGACTTTAAACAATAAGATCAATTCAGAAACTGTTCATTCAGTTAAAAATCTGAGACGGTCATATTAATGCAATTGTATTTGAACTAGCCTAAGTATAATTTCATTCATATCTAGCCCTAAATCATACTGCGCTCTTTACCCGGGCAGCTCCCATTCCATCTGCCAATGCACAGATGGGCTGGTCTGTGCATACGGGCTTTTCTTTACATGCTAGATGTAATAGCAACGATGATGAACCTGGTGTGTCTATCAAGAGCCTAGCTTGTAACCCAGTTCTTCCTCACATCCTCCTTGGGCAGCAGGTAAGTGACTGGCATTATCTAATCACAGTTTCTATTTACGTCCCCCCACTTCAAATCACTTCTCTAGCTCAGGCTGGTTCTTTCCCTCCACTAATAACTAGATTTCAGCTGTCCCTTAAGATCGTATTTCATCAGCCACTGGCACATCTCTTCTGCTGCTAATGCCACACTGATCTGCTTTTGCAAGGTTCCAGACCTTCTTTTATCACCTTAGGGGCTACCTCCTGGCCAGGCTTTGCTCTTCTTCCCCGACCCTTCCATATGCCCCTCTCCCCCACAAGCTCCAGCATCAACCCCCTGGCCAGATTTAATTTCTTATCCATGTCTATTCAAGCAGACACGAAAACAAAAATAGAATTTCCCTGGAAAGAGCTTCATTTCCCATGGCCAAACTTAGCATAGCTTTCACCATCAGGACACATCTTCCAGGGTTCTGCTGAGTCCCTTGAGGGGCCCTAGGGAAACAGTGAGACAGATGTAAGGAAAGGAAAAAAAGCATCTTATGTGAAAGCACGTCCAGTATCTTCTGGGTATTATGTTAAATAAACACCACAGGGTAATTCAGTATTTATAGAAGGAAAAAAAAACAGCCTTAATGATGATAGGGCATCAGAGAAATTTAATTACTCCCTCAGGTCTCTTTTGTGCAAGACAGTGTTCACATGACAACCTGGGTGGCTTCTTGTTTGTGGTATTGCTTCTCTCTTCCCAAGAAGGTGCTAAAAGAAACTAGTTGTGGGTGGAGGAAGGTGCTCTTCATAAAGAGACCCCAACCCCCATCCACACCAGCTCTCCTGGGATAAGAAGTAAAATGCCTCAAGTTCTTGTGCTTAGCCAGCAGGTACTAGGGAGCACTGCCCAGGAGGCCAGGTGCTATGGGACACTGATGACAGGACAGACCCTGCGGAGTTCTAGAGTTCCCCAGGAAATAATAGTGAGGGCTTCTGTAAAGGAGAAATCCACAACTGGAACCTCCCCTTGTCCAACATGGCAATGTTGTTTGATGGGGACTATAAAAATGGTTAACGTTGGCAGATTTTTTTTCTCTCCCTAACAGGAAAACCCCAGAAGTGCATTGCAGATGCTCAGAAACCCTTGGGAGTCCACAGACAGGATTGCATGTGACACTACAATCTGGACAGGGCCTGCTTGAGTCAGAGCTCCAATAAACATAGGTAGGCCTAATCCACCATGCATTCACCCTAAACCTCTCCTCTGGACAGAGCCCTGTGCTATTTGAGTATATTCACTATGAATATGATGTTCCCTCTTCTTCCCAAAAATACAGTGTAGTAATTAAGTTATATAGACTGCTTTTAGGTATAGTTTTCAGATGTCTCTTTCCAAAGGGAAAGTATAACATTTAATTCCACAACTAGGTCAAGGAATAGATAGATCTCTTCTAGAAATGCTGGAATTTCTGGATAATTAGTATGCCGTTTCTTTGAGAATACATGTTCATGGAGTTAGGAAGCCAAGATTTTTATGTTAAACCAGTAACTTCATCATTGTGGACCATCGTTTCTCCAATAGAAAGATAATGCAAAAGACCCTAGAAATATTTCTTGATTCTTGGTTTTCTTTGTCCAATCCCCACCACAAATCAAACCAACCACTGTGTACTATTAATCCATCATCTGTTTCTTGTGTGTTTCCTTTCTCACCACCCTTAATATTTTGCCTTGGTAGAACAGTCCCTTAGGATGTTTCTTCTCGTTGGTGGTAATCACCCTTTATGTGGTTTCTCTCCCTCTAGTCTCCCTACCCAAGCCATAAACACCCACCACTTCAAATCCATATCACAAAGGAAAATCACGGCTGTCTTAAATGTAAATCTGATCATGGTACTCCTCTGCTTAAAGCACTTCAAAGTTCAAAGCACCTCCTCTTCCCCATTTCTCTCTGGATCCTCAGAATCTAGCCACCTTGTATATGGTCTGAACTTTCTAAAGGAGATAATATATTGACTTTTTTAAATGGACTTTCAGGAACTTTTGTTAAAATTGAACTTTTAATTTTGAGATAATTGTAGATACACTTGCAGTTATAAGAAATAATACAGAGAGGCCGGGTGCAGTGGCTCACGCCTGTAATCCCAGCACTTTGGGAGGCCGAGGCAGGTAGATCATGAGGTCAGGAGATCAAGACCATCCTGGCTAACCCGGTGAAACCCCGTCTCACTAAAAACACAAAAAATTAGCCAGGCATGGTGGTGGGCACCTGTAGTCCCAGCTACTCAGGAGGCTGAGGCAGGAGAATGGTGTGAACCCAGGAGGCGGAGCTTGCAGTGAGTGGAGATCGTGCCACTGCACTCCAGCCTGGGCAAGAGAGCGAGACTCCATCTCAAAAGAAAAATAATAATAATAATAATACAGAGAGATATTTTACCCAGATTCCACCAGCGATAACATCTTGTGAACCCGTGATACAGTATCACAACCAAGATATTAATATTGATATGTCAAAATGCAGAAGATTTCCATCACCACAGAGATACCTTTCCTTTCCCTTTTATAGCCAAACCCACTTGCCATGGTATGAATGTACCATAATTTGTTTAATCATTTGTATGGTGAAGATTATCTTAGCTCTTCCCAGATTTTGGCTACTACAGATAAAACTGCTATGAGCATCCATGTGCAGACGTGAACATAAGTTTTAATTTCTCTGGGATGACTGCCCAAGAGTGCAATTTCTGGGCTGTACGGTAGTCGCATGTTTTATAAGAAACTGCAAAACTGTTTCCCTGAGTGGTTTTTCCATTTTATAGTCTACCAGCAATATGTAAGAGCCATACAGTTTCTCCATAGACTTGCCAGCATTTGTTGTGGTCATTTTTTAAAATTTTAGCTATTCTAATAGGTGTGTAGAGATATTAATATCTCATTGTGGTTTTAATTTGTGTTTCTCTAATGGCTAATGTTGGTGATATGGTTAGCCTTTGTTCCACATCGAAATCTCATCTTGAATTGTAATCGCCATAATCCCCATAATCCTCACATCTCAAGGGAGAGACCAAGTGGAGGTAATTGGATCTTGGGGGCGTTTTCCCCCCATGCTGTTCTTGTGATAGTGAGTGAGTTCTCAGGAGATCTGCTGGTTTTATAAACGCCTCTTCCCCACTTCGCTTGGCACTTCTCCTTCCTGATGCCTTGTGAAGAAAGTGTCTTGCTTCCATTTCCCCTTCCGCCATGATTGTAAGTTTCCTGAGGCCACCCAAGCCAAGCTGAACTCTTAGTCAATTAAACCTTTTTCCTTTATAGATTATCCAGTCTCGGGCAGTTCTTTATAGCAGTGTGAGAACAGGCTAATACAGTTGGTCAACATCTTTTCATGTGCTTATTTATTATCTGTATATCTATCTCTTCAATAAAATATCTGTGCATGTCTTCTGCCCATGTTATAATTGAATTGTTTGGCTTTTTTAAACTGTTGAATTTTGAGAGTTATTTATATAGGTTAAGTAGCAGTTCTTTGTTTGATATACGGTTTGCAAATATTTTCTCCTAGTCTGTAGCTTGTCTTTTCATTCTGTTAAGAGTCATTTGCACAGCAAATTTTTTAAATTTTGATGAGGTCTAATTTGCCAATTTTTGCTTTTATAGATTGGGCTTTTGGTGCCAAACCTAAGAGATCTTTGCCTAGTCCTGGATCACAAAAATTTTCTCCTGTATTTTTGTTTGATAGCTATATGTTTTATAGTTTTATATTTTTCACTTAAGTTTATGATCCATTCTGTATTAATTTTTTATAAGGTGTGAAGCTTAGGTCAAGGATCTCCTCCTCTTTCTTCTTTCCTTCCTTCCTGCTCCCTTCCACCTTTCCTCCCTTGTCTCTTTTTTTACCCCTGCCTATGGATGTCCAATTGTTCTGTCACCGTTTGTTGAAAAGCTTAGCAGGCACTTTTTTTCTTTTTTGAGACGAAATCTTGCTCTGTCACCCACTCTGAAGTGCAGCAGCATGATCTCGGCTCACTGCAACCTCTTCCTCCCGAGTTCACGTGATTCTCCTGCCTCAGCCTCCCAAGTAGCTGGGACTACAGTTGCCCGCCACCAAGCCCAGCTAATTTTTATGTTTTTACTAAAGACAGAGTTTCTCCATGTTTGCCAGGCTGGTCTCAAACTCCTGACCTCAAGTGATCCACCTGCCTTGGCCTCCCAAAGTGTTGAGATTACAGGCATGAGCCACCATACCTGGCCAAGGCTTAGCAGCCACTTCTAAGTGGCATCTCTCCATTTGGTCTCCTCCCTCGTGCCACATCAGTTGAGACCTCCTTTCTCTGGCCTTCATGATGTCTTGCCCCCTCCACTCTCAGCCAGACCTCCAGAAGCCTTATTCATGGCCTTCAATCAAGGGCAAGTTCCTGGAGCTTTCCTTCTGCTCAGCACCTCTTCAGGAAGGAGATAAGGACATCCACGAGACAGGCTGTGACTCCTCCATAGAGACCCCTCAGGATTTCAGCAGCACTGCCCTCTCTACTGCCGGCTCAGCTGCCTTCCATTCCTTGTCCTTCCCCCATACCCCTTCAATGACCTCAATCCCAAAGAACTAAAAAAAATGACTCTTGCTTAGATGTGACAACTCATTTGTGGAAACAGGATTTTTAGTTTAAAATCTCTGGATTTCCCTGAACTTGGCTCCCCAATTTCACAGCACATCAGACTGTGTCCTGGCTCCTTGTTGACTACTTCATTTCATGGCTACCATACTAGAGGAATTTGTCATGCTCAGATATCTGGGTAGTGTAACCTAAATACTTATGTGCTAATGAAAGAGCCGACAGGAAACTGTGTGGGCCTCTCCTTTGCCTTCTCCATTTCTTAATGTTTCATATATGTCGTGCTGTACTCACTCTCAACATGAACAACCCTGATTTAAAATCATCTAAACCTATGTGTGCTTGAGGCAACACCTCCACATAAGAATGTCAAAGTCCATTCCTTCCCTGACAGATCTTTGAGGGAAAACAGTTTAAGCTGAGAAGGCATATGGAGACAACGCAGTTACTCAGACAACCCCCTGGGAATATTCTTGGTCAGGCCAGAGAGCAATTCCGTCTTTTGGGCTGTGAAAACATGGCCTCTGAGGTTCATTCTGAGTCAATCTATGATCATCCCTGGTTTTATTTTGCTAAACCCAGAATGTGGTCAAATGCAGCAGTGAGAGTGTCCTTTATCCATGGGTCCATTTTAATGGGCCCTGGTATTTCCGTCCCTGGCCATTCTTATTCAGTGTCGCTGTCATCAATGAATTTGATCATACTTCTGCCTGAGGCACTTTAAGCAAATTGGACATTTTTTTTAATAATAAAAAGCTGACAAATGAAATGTTTAAAAATAGGATAGTGCTGACTCTGAGAATGTATCTGAAATGGATGTGAGAAGAGTAGAAGGGTCTCTGATGGGATTTTTTGTGCTCTTCTATGACATTAAACATTCTGTATCCATTAGGAAATGTTGTTCCTTCATTTCAAAAATATTAAATAATTTCTTTAGTGCAACTATATGGAAAACTCTGACATGAACACTAGTTGGGTAGAGGAGGAAGGTACATACATGAAATAGTCCCCATCCCTAACTTTTCAACCTATTCAGACTCTTATAATTCTTTAATACTTAGTTTTCCTAGGATGTCTGCTTGGTCACTGTTACAGGTAGTTTCTCATTCTTCAAGACCTTCATAAATTAGCATCCATAACAATTAGCTGGCATATGTAAAACTTCTCTGGAACACCTCTTGTACAATGTTTGTGTAGCATTAGTGAAATCACGTATTGCTCTTCAGCACCCCAGGTGGGTTGTCCATCTCTACCCCTCCTGCCCCAATCACAAATTCTTCATCAATTGGGGTCATTTTAGCTTCTTTACAATTGAAAGTATAAATGTAGGCATAACATTTTTATCTATACTGACTATGTGGTCAAACTTTGGGTTTACTTGTTTATATAGTTTTCTTGATTTATTAAGTATTGCTAGAAGTTAAATAGCTTTGTTTACAAGCTGAGTGGAAGTTCTTCAGCAAAATATTAATAGCAGTTCAGGGCTAGTGTGAGAGTCCTTCAGGAGGCATCACTTGATGGCATCACTCTCTCAAGCTCTCAAAATTATATGATCTATTTTAAGAAACTTGACAATTTCTCTTGCCTTTAATTGCACTTTCTAGCATTTGGCAAGGAATCTTGTATAGTCACAATAACTTTATTTTCAATATTGTATAATCACATAATTTTGTAAAGGCATTAAAAGCCATCATTACTCTTTTAACTTTTAAATTTACATTTAAATCAATAGAGTACAATGCTACCAATGCAAACTATTTAACTGAGGTGGAAATCAGATAAAAAAAAACCTCCAATAGAGAGCTAAGTTTTCATTTTTTAAGCAAAACAATTATCACAACTTACTTTCCCACTTGCTGTTATATGAAAAACACAAAGCAGTGGAATAAACAGTGGATATGGAGATGGAAGTTTAAAAACTCCCATGCCATACCAATAAAACATGAGTTTGTATGAGACATGCACCTCTTCCCAGCTCTGTGTATTTATTTACTTCTTGAGGCTTCTACTTCCTCACTTATAAAATGAGTGTTTTTAAAACCTACCTTGAAAAGGTATTGGGAGCTCAGTAAAATATCTGATACAGTACAGAGCTCAAGACATAATAGGTGCTCAGTAAATGGTAGTTCATGATAATATGAATCCCCTTTCATCTTTTCTTACTTTTTTTCTTTGATCACTAGAATCTAATATTCTAGATATCTAATCTCCAAAAACTAAAAAACATACTGCCCTTACTTAGATGTGAGAACTAATTTGTGGAAACAGGATGTTGAATTTAAAATCTCTGGTTTCCCTGGACTTGGTTCCCCAATTTCACAGCACATCAAACTGTGTCCTGGCTCCTTGTTGACTATTTCATTTCACAGCTACCATACTGGAGGAATTTGTCATGCTCAGATATCTGGGTAGTGTAAACTAAACATTTATGTGCTAATGAAAGAGTCAACAGGAAACTGTGTGGGCCTCTCCTTTGCCTTCTCCATTTCCTAATGTTTCATATGTGTCACAGCTGTACTCACTCTCAACATGAACAACCGTGATTGTTGTTTGATAGAGATTGTGGCACAATAGCCGACCAAATCTAAGTTAAATAAAACACCTTTGAGCATTCTTCACTCATTACATTCTTTTCCTCTCCCACAGCCTAGCTGGGTGCCCTGGAGAGGCAGGTCTGGTTAACAGTCCCAGAAGGAAGACAGGAAAGTGCATACAATATGGCCTCCTACCTTTGCCCCTTCCCACCCTGTGCCTCCCAAATCACAAAATACAGGACTGAATTAACAGAGAAACCAAAGCTAGCATTACAAATGGATGTCTATATCTGCACCAAACATTTTTTTTCTTCTCTACTGTTATATTAAATTTGTCCCTCTTCCTGCCTAAAGACAGTTTCTCCACTTGTGCCTTGATTCTTTCTTATAGAGGTCATCTCTTTGCTTATATTGCCCGTCTGATTTTGTACGTCGTCTACTTTTTCCTTTAAGTTCCTGTCTGATAAACCGAACATCTATCATATCTGAGTCTGGTTCTGATAATTGTCTCCAGACTGCCTTGCCTTCTGAAATGACTTGTAATTTTGGGCTGACAGCCAGAGTTGTTTAAGATAATAGGTACAAAAGTAGATTTGCCTTTAATATGAGGATTTGTGTTAATCTGGCTAGGAGTCAGGCTGTTTATAGTTTATTGTAGCTAGAGGCAACAGAGGCTTCAAATTCCTCTACTGGTACTGTTTTATCCTCCTTTCCTGGCTTTGGGTCTTCCCTATGTACTCTTCCTCAGGTAGAGTCTGTGCCTTGCTACTTTTTCACCTGTAATCCACTGTTATTATTATTGTAAGTTGGTTAGTTTAGTGGTAAGATGTGGGGAAAGTGGTAAGATGTGAGCATTCTATAATCTTCTACTTGCGTCTTAGTATTTTAGTGGGCTTATGTCTCAGGGGTGTGAACTTCAGAAGTATCTATCACTTTTCTAGGAGTACATCTCTTCCTCCACTGTTTCCAAGTTCCTTTTTAGCTACAACATTCCTATTCTATTTTTTGAAGTCCTTTCCCCTGTTGACTAGTGTTAAAATAAAATAAAATGGAAAATAGACCTGAGAATCTCCTGAGCAGACAAAGCCAGTTAATCCACAGTGGCAACCTTGACCTTATTAGATTTGCAAACATAGGCAAAACTTAAGTTGAACTGTTTTTTGTAAGTGCCTAATTAAAGAAAAAGGAAATTTAAGATCAACTAATCAGAAGATGTCAGCTAACTTATAGCTATACACCTAAGGACTTTCCAATGGGATAGACCAAATAAGGCCATTTCATAACTGTAACCAATCAACTATTTTATTTACATTGTTTCTGAGTTCATCGCAGAAAAGCCCTCTCCTTGTGTACCCTTGGGGGAATCCAAGCCACCTTCAGTTTGGTGCTTCCCAACTGATAAATCACCGTTTGTTCAAATAAAGTCTTTAAAATTTTATCGTGTCTCTAGTTACCTTTAAACACTAGGCTCTTACTCATTTTCCCTTAGGTAAGACAGTAAGGGTTTGATCAGACATCAGTGGGGCAGAGTTGCCTTCCCCCAGCTGGGATAACATTTCAAAATTACCCTCTAATGAAGTTCATCACCCTGGAGATTAGGCCTTTGTTTAGGAGAACTTCACCATGGCTACTATTTCTTCTTCCACGTCTCTGCCTGCCAGGGCCATGTAGGAAGATTTCACAGCTTCTCCCCATGAGAAAATGGTAGGGTCCCTAGAAGAAACCCTGGGAAACTATGTGAATCCCTAATGACTGCTGCCCCCAGGAGCGTCCCATTCTCATGCAAGTCTAGACATAGACTCCAGCAATCTGTCAAAATTACTATTTAAGCATTTCTACCAGTTGTGGTCCCAGCAGTTTCTGCTCCATGTAAGTTGATCTTAGTTGATATGTCTCCCAGATATGCTCCAGATTTCAGGGTGGTTGTCTGTCCTGCAACCTTAGTTCTCTGACGGAACTAAGAAAGTCATGATTTTCAGCTTGTATAGCTTCCTCTTATTGTAAGGACAAGAGTAATAACTTCCAATTTTAACATATCAAAGCTGAAACAAGAAATCCCTCCACCTATATTTTGAATACTGTATGTCCTGCTATATCAGGAATCTTACTCTTAAATACTACTTTCTTTTTTTTTTTTTTAAGTATACTTTAAGTTCTGGGATACATGTGCAGGACGTGCAGGTTTGTTACATAGGTGTACATGTGCCATGGTGGTTTGCTGCACCCATCAACCTGTCATCTACATTAGGTATTTCTCCTAATGCTATCCCTCCCCTAGCCTCCCACCCCCTGACAGGACCCAGTGTGTGATGTTCCCCTCCCTGTGTCCATGTGTTCTCATTGTTCAACTCCCACTTTTGAGTGAGAACATGCAGTGTTTGGTTTTCTGTTCCTGTGTGAGTTTGCTGAGAATGATGGTTTCCAGCTTCATCCGTGTCCCTGCAAAGGACATGAAATCATCATTTTTTGTGGCTGCATAGTATTCCATGGTGTATATGTGCCACATTTTCTTTATGCAGTCTTTCACAGATGGTCATTTGGGTTGGTTCCAAGTCTTTGCTATTATGAATAGTGCTGCAATAAACATACATGTGCATGTGTCTTTATAGTAGAATGATTTATAATTCTTTGGGTATATACCCAGTAATGGGATTGCTGGTTTAAATAGTATTTCTGGTTCTAGATCCTTGAGGAATTGCCACATTGTCATACTACTACTTTCTAGTCTTGACTGTGCATTGGAATCACCTGAAAAGCTTTAGAAATTACTGATGCCTGGGCTTCCTCCCTAGAGGGTCTGATTTAATTAGTCTGGGACTGAGAACTATTGCCCTAGTGTTCATACACTTTGCAGACCAGAGTGGGATTTTTTTTCAAAACCTAAATTTGATTACATTTGTCCTGTTGTTTAAAATACTTCAATGACTATGCATTGCTTTAACCAAAGAAAAGAAACATGCTTACATGGTTTGCAGAATTCTATAGTCTTGCCTCTGCCTCAGTTGTCACTTCTCCTGGCCCTCTTTTATTTCCTCACTGCACTCCCTCTCCCCACATCCATTCATCCCACAAATATTATTGAACACCTACGTATGACCTAGGCACTAACTGAGATATTGAATATACTGCAATGAACAAAACATAGCTAGTGCTTCTGCATATGGAGCTTACATTTTTGTTGCAGGGAAGATAGACACTAAATAAACCAAACAAATATGGTACATATATACGTATGTGTATATATATAAATATGTATGTATGTTTAGGCATAATATTGTACAGCAGATTCTAAAACTTACTCATCTTATATAACTGCAACTTTATACCTGTTGAACAGCAACCCAGATTTCCCCTTCCCAATAGTTCCTGGCAACCACCATTCTCTCTCTGCTTCTGTGAATATGACTATTTAGATACCTGATATAAGTGGAATCATGCAGTATTTGTCCTTCTGTGACAGGTTTATCTTAGTTAACATAATGTCCTCAGGTTTGTCCGTGTTGTTGCATATGATACATTTTCCTTTTTCACAAAAAAAGAATAATATTTCTGTATCCATTCATCCACTGATAAAAATTTAAGGTGTTTCCAAATCTTGGCTATTGTGAATAATGCTGCAATGTACAAGGATGGGAGCAGTGTGCAGATAGCATTTCAAGATCCTGATTTCAATTCTTATGGCTATATATACCTGGAAGTAGAATTACTGGGTCACATGGCAGTTGCATTTTGGTTTTTGAGGAACCTCCATACTATTTTCCATTGGAGCTGCACCAATTTACATTCCTACCAAAAATGTACAAGGGTTGTAATTAATCCACGTCTTTGCCAACACTGTTGTCTTTTGTTTTTTTGATAGCCATTCTAACAGGTGTGAGGTGCTATCTCATTGTGACACTGATTTGCATTTTCTGATTATTAGTAATGTTGAACATCTTTTCATATTGTGGACCATTAGTGTTTTCTTCAGGGAAGTCTCTATTCAATTCCTTTGCCCATTTTTTAGATGAGTGTGTTTATTTGTTTGTTTGCTATTGAGTTATAACAGTTCCTTATATATTTACACATTAACCTCTTATCCAATAAATGGCTAATAAATATTTTCTCCCATTCTGTAGGTTGCCTTTTCACTCTGTTGATTGTTTTCTTTGCTGGGCTGAAGCTTTTTAGTTTGATATAGTCCCATTTGTCTATTTTTGCATTTGTTGCTTATGCTTTTGGTGTCATATCTAAGAAACCATTGCCAAAATCAATGTCATGAAGCTTTACAAAACAGGGTAAGAGAATAGAGAATAATAAAGGTACTGTTTTAAATAGAAAAAAAAAAAACAGGGAATGCTTCTCTAATGGAGTGACACTGAAGCAGAAATCTAGATAAATGAATGATGAAGCAAACACTGTTAGGGAAACAGTGTTCAAATCAAAGGAAACAGCAAGTACAAAGGCCCAGCAAGGAGACAAGAGTAGCTTCAGTAAAAGGAATGCTGTATAGATAAGATGTCGTGTATGAGATTATAAAAGAGCTTATTGGGGAGACAGAAGCACACAGGGACTTGTAGGTAATGGCAAGGAATTCAGATCTCATTTCAAATGAGATTGAGATGCAAATGCCAGCCATTAGATAATTGTGAGAAAAACAGAGACATTAACTTAGGTTTTTAAAACATTACTCTGGTTACTGTGTAAGGCTGTAATAGTGCAAGTAACAAGAAAAAAGTTGAACTAAGAATTTATAATAATCTTGGCAAAAGCTAATAATGTCTTGGGTTAGGTTGGTAACAGAGAAGAACAAGAAAAGTGGCCAGAATCTGGATGCATTTTGAAGGAAAGCAGAGAAAATTCTCAGGGGAACTTGATGTGGTATTTGCATAAAAACTAGGAGTCTCAAATTATTCTATGGTTTCGTTAATAAGAAGCAGCATGAATAGTTAATTTTTACCAAGGAGAGAAGAAAAAGGCCTTTTGCGGAAAAGGCCAACAGTTCAGACTTAGAATAAGTTTGAGATGCCAAGGGATGATTTTAAGAAAATAGTGATATTTATTAAACTGGAATTCGGGGAGAGATCTGGTCAGATATAACGACAATAATCTCAAAAACTTTACATAGCATTTAAAACCATGGTACTAGATGAAGTCACCTTAGATGTGACTGTAGGTAGAGAAACAGAGAAGTACCAGTTCTGAATCCCGGTGCCATCCAAAATGTTGTGGTAGGAATATGACTTTGGTAAAGAAAAGGACACTGAGAAGAAGCAACCAGTGGAATTGAAGTAGATTAAATAGCATCATGTCTTGACACCAAGTAAAAAAGCTCAAGAAGAAGAAAAGAAATGCCAAGGCTACATATTCTACATATATCAAATAACAAATGGACTGACAATGACCATTGAATCTGTCAATATGGAGGATACTAGGGACCTTGATGAGAGCATTATTAGTAGGGTGAAGGGAATAATAGCCCGAGTGGGGTTAGCATAGAAGAAAAGAAGTTCCACATCTGCTAATGGGAAGGTAGTTTGTATTGGACGAATTCCTCTATATGGTAATAATTACAAACTCTGCATAAAATATAAAGAATCTGAAAGTACAGAAGAGCAGCCAAATTAGCCAGTAGCTGAAAAGGAACCTGCCACTTAAAAGAAGATAAATGCTCTGGGTAAGATTTGCATTTAATGGCCCTTCTCCTGAGAAATCTCAGTAAGTATAGCATAGTTCTGCAGGAACTCAGGCTGAAAGTCACAGTGGTGCTCGTTTCAGAAGTCTGAGAATGGAGGTTAGGACTCCTGAGCTACTTTTAAAGTGAGGAGAAAGGAAGAAGTCACACAGCCACAGACAGAAAGCCCCACATCTGTATATAAACTCTGCCCAAATCCTTAGTTAAGCTAAGCCCCAGCTGTGATTATCTGGGGAAATGCCGTGGGCCCAAAGGAAAGCAATAGGTGGCAGGCAAAAAGAACTAAGCAGAGATTCCAGCTGCTAACCATCTCATGGAAGACACAGTTTGGAGTTTGAATGTAACCAAATATCTTAGTCAATTCAAGCTTCTATAACAAAGTGCCATAAACTAGGAAGCTTATTAACAACAGGAATTTATTTTTCACATTTCTGGAGGCTGGATGGCATGTATCATAGCACCAGCATGGCTGGGTTTGGGTGAAGGCCTTTTTTCAGGTTGCAGACTGATGACTTCTCATTGTATCCGGACACAGTGGAAAAAGAGCTAGCTGGCTTTCTGGCCTCTTCTTATAAGGGCACTAATCCCATTCATGAGGGCTCCACTCTCCTGATATAATTACCTTCCAAAGGCCCTGTCTCCAAATACGATCACATTGGGATTGGATTTCAACATATGAATTTGGTGAGACATAAAAATTCCATCCATAGCACTAAGTTAACTGCCGGGAAGAACAAAAAATAAACATGCTTCAGAGGATGATGAAAGAACCCAGAATTTTTACACTATATCATCCATAATGTCTAGTATACTATAAAAAAATACTAGACATCAGAAGAAACAGGGAAATATGACCCATAGTCGATAGAAAAAGTAATCAATAGCAAAATATCGTGAAGTAATCCAGATGTTGGAATTAGCAAAAATGGACTTGAAAGACACTCTTACAAATATGTTCGAAGGCTTAAAGAATAATATGGTCATGTAATTAAACAGATATATGAGAATAAAAGAAGAATCAAGTCAAATTTTTAGAATGAAAATTAGAGTAGTTTGATTAAAATTTTCATTCACTAAATGGGATTAAGAGAGATTGGTGATTAAAGAACAAAAAGTTAAGATAATTAAAAACATATCAAACTAAATTACCTAATTCATATAACCAAGGTTTTTTAGAAAACAGGAACAGAGCCTCAGTCACCTATAAAACAATATCAAACAATCTGCAATTAGAAACTTAGAAGAGTAAAAGATTGGAGAAGCAAAAAAATGACTGAAAATTTCCCAAATTGTATAGAAAATTCCATATATAAGTTTAGAAACTGAAAGAAAGACAATTACAAAGAAAATCATGCTTAATAATATCAGAGTCAAATAACAAAACCAAAAACAAAGAGAAAATTCTGAAAACAGAAGAAAATGGCACTTACGGAAAATTAACAATATGAATATAAATGACTTCTCATAAAAATAATGGAAGCCAAAAGACAATGGAACAACATCTATGAGATACAAAAACAATAAACATTTTCAACATATTCAGTGGAAAAAGTTGTCAAAAACAAAGGTGATATAAGAAAAACAAAGTAGACAGACTAAATAGAATTCCACTAACCAAATTTAAAACATAATGAACAGCAAAATAATTCAGTATTGAATTATAAAATACAGGAAGGAAGAAGTAGAAATAAATAACTTTCTAGTGATTGTTAATTAATTAATTAAAATGGCAGGAAGAGGATAAGAGGAATAAAGGAGGGGGGAAGGAGGGAGGAAAGAAAGAAGGAAAAAGAAAAGAAGGGCAAGAAAAGAAAAAAGAAGAGAAAAGAAAGTGTGTGTTTTCTACAATAGAAGGAAGAGGGCTGGCAGGTCAATATGTAAAAAGTGCTGGAGTTGGAAAATATTGTGCAGTTGTGAAAATGAAAATCAATTCAGGCAAGAATCATCAGTCTGATGTGAGAGATTATGATGGAGGTTGGGATATTTGTATGATATAGATTTCTTATTAGTCATACGAAAAAATAGAAATTATACACTGGAGAATCCAGATAACTCCTGGGCTGGGTGAACAAAATTCATATCACCAAGGAGGGTGTAAATGGCCATCACATGCCCCAGATATAATACCCTGAAAATAACACAATGTCTCTTATGTAATATTGTAGCCTGGAATGCATAAACTAAATTAATTATGATAAAACATCAACCATATTCAAAATAGGGAATATTTTCTTCTCCAAAATTGTGAACATCTCAAAGCTAAAAAGCCCCAGGTTAAAGACACTCAAAAGGCATGAATGCTAAATGCAATATTGGTCCTAGGCTAGATCAAGTAAATGTTGATAAGTGTGTACAACTATTGTTTGTAATAGCATATACATTTGCTGAAATTATGAAGTTATATCCAAATAAGTAATTTTTATTAAATGAAGAGGAAATGACATTCTCAAATGAAAACAGAATTCTTCATCCGCAGAGTTACACAACAACAACAAAATGCTAAAGGATGTTTTTCAGATTGGAGTCAATTGAGACTCAACAGAAATTTGGATCAAGAAATGAAAAATATTAAAAGGAGATTAGAAATTGCAAACAAATAACAGTGAAATTGAAGACATAGCAATAGAAATTATCCAAAGAGAAACACATAGAGAAAAAGATCAAAAACATTAACACAGCATAAGTGAATTGTCAGACAACTTCAAGCAGTCAAGTATTCATGTAACTCGAGACTCCAATAAAGAAGATAATCTGGAATCATTTAAAATATTTCATTCAAAAGAAGCTCAAAGGGTGAGAGGCTGGGGGTGGAGGGAAAGAGAAGAACAAAAACTGAGGAGACAATAGAAACCAAATAGCAAGATAGTAGATTTAAATCTAATGAAAACAATAATCACATTTTATGTTAATGGTCTAAACACTATTAAAAGGTAGAGAGGGAAGAATAGACTGTGTTATATGTTATAAGAAGTCCACTTTAAAAATAAAGAAACAAAGGATTAAAAGTAAAACTAATAAAAATGATATTCCATGTGAACATCAGTAAAAAAGAGAGCTGAATGGCTAAGTTAATATCAAATGAAGTGTATTTTAGAGCAAAGAAATTACAGGGTAAAGAGTGTCGTTTTATGATGACTCAGCAATCAATTCATGTCATAAAGATGAGGTCCTAATCCAATATGACTGGTGTCCTTGTAAGAAAAGGAAGAGACTCCGGGAGATGGACCTATACAGACCAAAGGCCATGTGAGGACACACGGGAAAGGTGGGCTTCTGAAAGCAAAGGAGAGAGCCTCAGGAGAAATCAACCCTGCCAGCAACTTTTTCTTGGACTTCTAGTATCCAGAGCACTTCTAGCCTCACATTTATTTATGAGAGAATACATTTCTATTGTTTAAGCCATAAAAAAGAAATCAGTTCATTAAGAGAACATAATAATCTTAAATATTTATGTGCCTAATTAATAATAGAATTTCAAAATACATAGAACAAACACCAACCTAACACACTTTATTTTCCAATTAAAATTCTCTGGTTATATTTTTACACTATCACCTTCACCAAAATAACTTGAAATAAAATTACTACATAGAACATTAAGGATAGATAAATTCATAGTTATAATTTGAGATTTTGTCACCCCTCTCTCAATAATTGATAGAATAGATAGAAAATCAGTAAGGGTAGAGAAGATTTTAAAAGGCACTAGCATTAACTTAACCTAATTGATATTATCCCACTCAACAAGAGATGAAAATGCATTCTCCTCCAGTGCCCACAGAATATTTAGCATAATCAATCATATTCTAGATCATAAACTAAATCTCAGTAAACTTAAAAATATTTAAGTCACACAAAGTATGTTCTATGACCAAGCTGGAATTTAATTTGAAATTAGTAACAGAAAGGTATCTGGAAAATTCAGATATATGAAAACTAAATATTAATAGCACACTTCTAAACAGTCAATGGGTCAGAGAAGAAAACAAAAGGAAAATTAGAACAGAATGAACCTTCAAACACAACACATCAAAAGTTGTGGAATGACCCTAAAGCTTTACTTAGAGTGAAATTCATGAAAAGAAGTGCTTATATTAGCAAAGAAGAAAAGTTATTACCTAAAGAAAAAAGTGAAGCACAAATGAAATTCAAAGTAAGCAGAAGAATAAAAATAATAAAGATGAGAGAAAAATCAAGGAAGAAAAACAATTGTTAATAAATGAAATTACATTGAAACATTAGATCTTTGAGACGATCAATAAAATTGATAAACTTCTAGCCAGACTGATAAGAGAGAAAAAACAAATTAACAATATCAAGAATGAGAGAGATGACACCATTACAAAATCTACAGACATTTAAAGGATAATAAAGGATTATATAAACAAATGTATACTAATTTGTTCAGCAACTTAGATAAAATTAAATAGTACAATGCAATACACACACTACCAGTGCGCATTCAAGAAGAAGTAGGTAACCTGATTAGCTTTATAGCAAGAAAATTGAATTTGTAGTTAAAAACTTAACTACAGGAAACTCCAAGCTCAGATAGATACACTGATTAATTCCATAAGTCATTTAAGGAAGAAATAGTACTAAGTTTACATATACTATTCCAGAAAATTGAAGAAGAGGTAATACTTTCCAACTCACCTTATGAGCCAGCATTACCCTGATGCCTAAGTTAGACAAAGACATGACAAGGAAAGGACATACATATATCCCTCATCAACATAGATGCAAGCGTTTAAAAAAACAGCAAAATAAATTAAATAATATGCAAATGCTCTTTGACTTATGATGAGCTTATGTCCCAATAAACCCAATGTTGAGTGAGTCAAAAATACCATGTCAAAAATGCATTTAATAAACCTAACCTACTGAACATTATAGCTTAGCCCAGACTATCTTAAATGTACTCAAAACACTTATGTTTACCTCCAGTTGAACAAAATTATCTAACACAAATACTATTTTATAATAAAATGATAAACATTTAAGTAAGAATATCATACCACATATCACTAGCAGGAGAAAACAGCAAAATTCAAAAGTTGAAGTAAAGTTTCTACTGAATGCATATCACCTTCACACCACTGGAAAGTTAAAAAAACATTAAGTGAAGTCATTATCAGTACAACACCATCTGTATAAATAGTAGAAAGCACTATGGCCATGTGGGACATACCCCAGGAATGCAAGGTTAGTTTAACATCTAAAAACCCATTATTGTAATTCGCCCTACTAAAATAAAAGGAAAATTCATATGGTCATCTCAATATACATAGATAAAGCATTTTATAAAATCCAATATCCATTTCTGATAAAACCTCCTATCAAAATAGGAATAGAAGTGAACATCCCCAACCTGATAGTGGGTAATCTATAAAAAATCTACAGCTAATATCATAATTAATAGTGAAAGAATGAATGCTTTCCTCCAGAGACTGAGAACAAGACAAGCACTGAAATTCTCACTAATTCTTTACCATGTTTTAGTGGAGGTTCAACACAGTACAGTAAAACAAGAAAAAGAAATAAGTGCATCTAGATTTGAAAGGAAGTGGCAAAATGTCTTCATTTGCAGATATCTGCATAAAATATCTTATAAAATCTTTTTAAAATGTATTAATACTAAAAAATTGTGTTTAGAAAAGTTACAAGACACAAGATCAACAATTTTATTTCTATATACTAGCAAAAAACACTTGAAAATAAATTTTAAAAATTTGTTTTTAGAATAGCAGCAACAACTATAAAATACTTGGGGAAATTTCTGACAAAATATGTCCAAAACCAATACAATGAAATGTACAAAGCGTTGGTGAGAGATACTAAAAAATATCTAAATAAATGCAGAGATATACTGCATTCAGGAAGACTCACTATTGTTAAGATCTCATTTCTCCCCAAATTATCTACATGTTCAATAAAATCTTTGCCAAAATTAGAGCAAGATTTTCTTTGCAGAAATTAGAAAACCAATTCTAAAATTATATAGAAAACCAATGGATCAATAATAGCCAAATTAACTCTGAAGAAGGATATAGTTGGAGAATTAATAATACCTGATTCTAAAACTTATCATAAAGCTACTACAACCAAGACTTTGTTTTACTAGACAAATAGTTCAATGAAATAGAATGAAGAGTCCTGTAAAAAGCACACACATATATGTAAACTTGATTTTTGAAAAAGCTTTGCAAAGGTAATTCAGTAGATAAATTATGGTATCTTCAACAAATGATGCATGAACAACTGAATATCTGTAGGCAAACAAAAAGCTTCAATGTTTCCACTGTAAGTAAACATTAACTCAAAATGGATTGTAAACCTAAATATAAAATCTAAATCTTTAAAACTAAATTAAGAAAATTTCTAAGCCTATAGAAGTAAGTGTGAAACCTAAATCCATAAAATCTATAGAAAGGAAACTTAGGAGGAAATCTCAGGGACCTTTAGTTTGGCAAATGTTTTTTAAGTAGTATATAAAAAGCACACATTCTAAAAGAAAATATCAATAAATTAGACTTCATCAAAACCAAAAATTTTTACTCTTATAAGACACTGTTAAGAGTATTTAATGTTAAGCCATAGAATGAGAGAAAATGTTTGAAAATCACTTGTCTGATGAAGGACTAATATTCCCATACATGAAGAATTATTAAGATAAGAAACAATCCAATAGACTATGAACAAAATACATACACAGATACTTCACTATAGGTGATATAAAGATGGCAGATAAGCACATGAAAAAGGTTTTCAACATCATCAGTCACTGGGGAATATAAATTAGGAATGTGCAACATGATACCATTATATGTATATTAGAATGACAAAAAAAAAAGAAAAAGACTGATCATACCAAGTGGTAGCAGGATGTGGATCAACTACCTCTCATACACTGCTGGTGGGAATACAAAATAGCACAACCCCGTCAGAAAACAGATGGGCATTTATTTTCTCTCTCTCTCTTTCTCTGTCTCTCTCTTTCTTTTTTTCTTTCTTTCTTTTATTTTTCCTTTTGAGACGGAGTCTCACTCTGTCACCCAGGCTAGAGTGCAGTGGCATGATCTCAGCTCACTACATCCTCTGCCGGGTTCAAGACATTCTCCTGCCTCAGCCTCCCGAGTAGCTGGGAATACAAGCGCCTGCCATTACACCTGGCTAATTTTTGTATTTTTAGTAGAGACGGGGTTTCTCCATGTTGGCCAGGCTGGTCTCAAACTCCCGACCTCAAGTGATTCACCTGCCTCGGCCTCCCAAAGTGTTGGGATTACAGGCATGAGCCACCGTGCCCGGCCCAGATCGGCATTTCTTAAAAGAAACTTGCATCTAACACATGACACACCGATTCCACTTCTAGATAATTACTCAAGAGAATATAAATATCTGTTCATTCAAAGACTTGTACTTGAGTATTTGTATTAGCTTTATTTATACTGTAATATGCCCAGGTGGGAAAGAATCCAAATAGCCAACATTTGGGTGGATACCAAGTAGGTGGATGATCAAACTGAAACATCATTTCAAGGATAACATTTCATGGAATACTACTCAACAATAACACAATAACAAGGAATGAACATGCTACACCATGGAGAAAATAAGTATTCCTGAGTGAAAGAAGCTAATCCTCCCAAAAAGTTGATTTTATTTATATAAAATTCTAGAAAACATAAATTAATCAATAGTGACTAAAAGCAGATCAGTGATTCCCTGGGAATGAGTAGAGCAGGCAGGGGCAAAGAGAAGGGATTAAAGTAGTCAAAACTGAACAAATCTTATGCTTTAAATATGTGTAGTTTATTGTATATAATTTATAATCAATGCAGCTAATACAATGTATAGGAGAGAATCGCTTTTTAAAAATTAAAGTATATGCTTCTAAGTCAACATTTTAGCTGATCTGAAGGAAAGAAAAAAACGTATTTGGCTTCTAAACACCAAATATCAGGGTCAAGACCTAATACTGGCATCTTCCTACTTCTCTACTCTTGGAGACCAGGGACAGTTACCACACTGTCATGTCAATATGAAATGTAGGGAAGTTGAACTAATCAGTGTTGTGCTCTGTCCCACAGCCTGAGAACAGGGTTCAATTTATGTATTTATTTAATTATAGGACCCTGAGTCAATCCATTTTTATCATCCTCACACTCTCCCCCTCTTGTTTATGCCATCATAATAATTGTGGTAAAAAAAATAAGCTCCATAATGGAAGAGAACTTCTCTGTCTTGTTACCACTGAATCCAAGCATCTGAAATGTGGCCAGCCATATGGTGAAGGTCATTATGTGTTTGTTGAATTAATATTTTACAATGTTTTAAATGTCTTTAAGGAGAAATTGTCTATTATTTATCTTTGTACCTCCAAAGAATAAGCACTTAGTGTTCATGTTATTCCGTGCATGGTGTGCAAGTTTTGTGAGATCTAACAAATGAGTATTGATTTTTTTCTCCTTTGAAATGTGAGATTTGGGGACATAGGATTAATGAGATAGAGCACAACAGTGATGAGTTTAAGTAAAATTCTTGCATCTTTGAATTAGTATTGGAAATATTAGAATGAATTCATATTTTCTCTTTTTAAAAAGTATTTCCGAATTCCGTTCAATGAAAACACCTAGAAAAATAACAAATTCACTACCAGTAAGCACCCTGAATGTCTAGATTGTGGTCTCCAAAGATCTTTGAAAAATTGCTGATTCCAGGTACAAAATGAATCTGAAATACTTTATCAAACCAGAAAGCAAAAAAGTCACCCAAAAATTCCCACAAATAAATGATAAATGTTTGAGACGATGAATATGCTAATTACCCTGATCTGATTACAATACATTATATGTATTGAAACATTGCTATGTTGCCTGTAACTATGTATGTGCAATGATTATGTGTCAATTAAAAATAATCATTTAATTCAATTTAATTTAAAAACAAAACAAAACTACTGGCATCATGTCAAAACTTCTGAGGAGCCAGCTTAAAGAAGTTCCTGCACAATGATGATACAATTTGATACCATCATTAAGAATAATAACTGCAATGCATTGAAACATAAAATGTTCTTCAATCTGTGAGTTCAAAAAATATTGACAAAAACTCTCATTTGTCACCTTGGAGGTTGCTAGGGAATAACTCATTCTATTGAAAACAGGTAACTAAAGAGAAGCCAAATATTTAACCTGTCTCTTCCATATGAACTAAACTTTAACATCATTTTTGTATACTTGATAATTAATGAATCTAGGCAGTGACCATCAATGGCATCACAGAGAGATGACCAGACTTACGTCTTCCTGATGGATGGACTTAGCATCACCTATGAAGTATTATTGCCAAATAATTGAACCTGCATCTAATCAAGCCTCTACACCAAAATACCAATGTGTAAGAAATACAGGGAACAAGAATACATGTTAATGTGATATATTAGAAATCCCCTTTCCACTTACATCTTTCAGCAGTGGTGCCAATAATGTGGAGGGACAATAAATTATTCAAAGTGGGGGATTAAGCAATTATGTTAAACTATTCTACATGGATTTAAGCAGCAAAACACAGACTTTAGGAAGCTCTACAGGACAAAGCAACCAGTATTTTCCCCAATAAAATACAAGGAAAAATAGGGGAGAGATAGAAGATAAACAAATAAAACATTTCCAAGTGACACATCAAAGCAATTACAACAAAAGGATGTGATGTAGATCCTGATACAAATCAACTGCTAACAACAAAATATGACAGGACAATCAAGACAATTTCAGCAGTGATGATATTTGGTAATATTGATGTTTTAATTATTCTCCTGTGTAATTATGGTAATATAGTCATATTTTTATAATTTTATGTTTTAGCATTTCTGAAATATTTATAGGTTAAATGACATAATATGACAACTAGTATTTGCTTCAAGTTAAAATAAAGCAATATGAGGGTATAGTTAAAACACAGTTGTTCATGAGTTAATAATTGTTAAGGTTGGGTGATGTGTTCATTATACTATTCTATTATTTTATGTTTAAATTGTTATAATAAAAATCATAAAAGATGAACCTAAACTAAAATCCAACTTAGAAAGCAAAAGAATTAGGAAAACTGTATTTTACTTCCAAAAATATTCAGTACTACCTGCTTAAAAAGAAACAGTTTCTTCCATGCATGAAAGTAGCTGCTTATAAATCATTCAATATTAAACATAGGGCAGGGGGAAGGGGCAAACAAATGTAAATGGTAGGAGCCTACATGAATGAGAAATTGAACATAAATGAAGTATAACTGCCTCTGAAATGATAATTCTAGTTTATGGAAAAATGGGATTGGATTAACAAACACCACCGCAGGATCACAACTATTTTGCAAAGCAAAGTATACTAGCAAACAAATATGTGAAAGATGTTTACCCTTTAGGAAAAGACAGGCACAGGTAATTGTAACCAGGCTCTAAGCCTGTTTGTAAACAGAGATACTGTATTTTCACTGCCTCTCAGATTGTGGTCTAAATATTTGACAACTTTAATGTCTTTCAAAGATATTAAATGTTGCAGGCATGTGAGAAAGGTCATATATCATTTCTGATTTGTTGTCGACTTTGCTGGCAAATGTGCATTTGTGTGCAGCTATCTTTCATAAACTGCTGGCTCTCCTGTTTGTTATATGGCTACCCCCACTTTGAATAATTTATTGTCCCCCACATTATTGGCACCACTTCTGAAAGATATAAGTGAAAAGGGGATTTCTAATATATCACATTAAAAAATAAGTCAGGGGAAACTCTAAATCAGGATGTTGTTTTAAACAGCTCCTACTCATTAGGGAGAAAACTTATGAACCCAAAGTAAAAATGCCTCTCAAATCTACTTAATGAAGGAAAGCAAAGCAATGGAAGCTGATGTGTTTGTTCATTACCAATTTCATGCTGCTTTGCCTGTAGGCTGAGTTCTGTGAGGTAAGTCAAATGGCCTCCTAGGTTTCATCCTTTATTTTAATATTTTTTTATAAAGGGAATAAAAACAAATATTTAGAATGGTGCAAAAGTAATTGCAATTTCTGTCATTAGCAGTTGCCATTGACAACTTTAAAAGTAATGGCAGAAACCGCAATTACTTTTGCACCGACCTAATAGAAAACTCATGTTCAGATTCTTCTGAACCGGAACATGCAAAAGTTGTCAGTGGTGAAGATAGAAATACCTGAGCAATGGGCACATGGGCTCATCCTGACTGACTCCTATACATCAATTCTCCTGGATACCCAAAAAGAAGGGCCCAACCAGGACCACTGATTGGTGGTCAGTGTAACTTAGGGGACATTAGAGCTGTTGAAATTACAGCCGGCTACACTGGTAGGCAATAAACTCCCTGTCACTGTTTGTGGATAGCTACCTGGAAAAGATGTAATAGACCACTGGTTTTTAAGCCTTGTGAGGATTTTTAATGCCTTTAGAAATGCACTACGACTATGAAACATCTCTACGTGAAAACATGTATATTTAACAAAATATTAATATATAACATACTGGGGGCTCATAGACCTCAGGTACCCATCAATGGTTCAAGAATAAGTTTCTGCATTTGGAGGAATCTAAATAGATATCTCCCAGGGTCTCTGTCTACTCTAAGATTCTATTTAGGGAAGATTTTTTTTAATGAAGAAGAATTAAAAGTGATTTTAAATTATTCCATTCTGCCATCTCAAATTATTCAGAACTTGGGAAAATGGCCATGATTTATTGAAAGTGAAATAATTATATGTGATTCTGGTTTCATTTTCATAAAAGCCATGATGGAGACAAACTCACAAACATCAATTACACATTTCTCCCTTTGGCACAAATGCCTCGTGCTAATTTTCCCTTCCTGGCTCAGTCACTCAATTTGCTGCCCACGACTTTCCATTCCACTTGTCCAAATTCAGCACCTTTTATATACCCTCTGAGTTTCTCCTCCCACTCTGGAGCCTTTGCTGGTATTTCAGGCCTCATTCATCTCCTCTCATCCGAACTCCTACAAGATAAATTCTGCTGCACAGTGCCACACGTAATTATGTTCTGTCATATGCTATTGACTTCTGTTTTGTGTGTTTCATTTCTAAGAATAGACTGCAAAATTCTAGATCATGGGTACCTGGTCAAATATTCTGCTATTTCACTATATCTAGAACAAACACTAGATACTCAATAAATTCCTGTTGATTAAAATCCGTTCTTTGGTTTCTGTCTATGATGGTTTCACCACATCTTTGAGAAACAATAAAATCGCAGTGAGGGTAATTTAAAGGAGAAGGTTTGGAAAGAGAGCTGAAAAGTGAGCTTACACATTATTCAGTGTGTAAGAATCAATGAAAGTTTGGAGTATGACACTTTATAGAAATAATGGTCAAGGGAAACTAAGATTGGATTCAGAAGTTGAAAATACTGATGAGAGAAAATAGGTAAACACATTTTGAAAAGATGCATGACCTTATTTATTATTATTATTGTTTTAAAGCTAAAAAGAATTGTCTCAACAAAAGTTATTTTTAAAAACATCTCTTGAACTTGTTTGGCTGAAGGAATCATTCGAAAAACATAAACTGCATGAAGTTGACTGTGGCTGTAATTATGTAGTACCCACCACAGTCTTCCTTAAATGGCTCCTCGTCACCTTAGAAAGAAGGTTTTCTTTTCCTTTGCTGTGAATATTCTCACTTGTTGTATTAAACAAGGGGTCAGCACTGCTAGAGAATATGGAGTCAATTGCGAATTCTCAGCCTCAGCATCTAATTAGAGGTAGTGTATGGAATGCCTTCCTTAATTACTTTGGAGTCATTGGGGTATTTCATTAGTCTCAGTTTTTATCTTGTAACTTCATTCATAAAATATGTTCCTTATCAATTAGCTCCGCTGGGAACTGATCACTGGCCCTGTGTATCCTGCTCTCTGTGTGATCTCTCAGCCCCAAAGGAGGTCAGAATTCTTCTACATCATATAACACTTTCAACTCTATTACCACACTAAGAACACCATGAAGGAAAACTAAAAAAGCAAGATATTATGTCACTTACAAGATGAAATACTGTTCCTAAATTGTGCTGGAAATATTAGGTAAAATTGATATAATCTAAGAAGTTAAACAACAAATGTTATTTAGACTTAAATTATTCATTGGTTCAGCCCATACTTTTCCTGGGATTAGTAGAAATATGCTCTCCAGAGATGCTTTAAAAAGACAAATTAAAATGCTCTCTTTAAGAATGAAATTTTATGGGATCAGAAGGGAGATACATGAGTCATGTTTAAGAGCAACATGGCTGCAGGGCAGAAAACTAAACTCAAGATATTAACATGGCTGAAGAACATTGAGGCAGGGAAGTTAAGTCACAAAGTTATGTATAGGCATTGGCAACACCATCCAATATGCAGAGATGGCAGAACTCCCAGAGACTCCACATGCCAGGCAAAGATGGTGTACCAAGCCGGATGTCTTCCAACATTTAAATCCTGTAGTCAACTTTCTGTTATCTTAATTCTAGGACCACAAAGAAACTTTTGATGATAATTTGCTTCTATGTTTTCTTGAAACTGGGAAGGAGATGCCACAGTAGGCTCTTGGACCTACTCCTTACCTCAAGTAGCTTCAGTTGCTGCAAGTCCTTCACTAAGAGACGGGGTTGTTTTTTTTTTAATCCCAGCTTTTGTTTTTTGTTCCACTTTTTCTTATGTAAAGATCATTTCCATAAGCGAATGTGGAAATAAAGAGAGAAACTGCTATAGTCTCTGGGATAGCTCTCAGCACTCTACCACCAGGTCTTCCTTGCTACAAATTTATCAGAAGGACCTTGTGTGATTGTCCAAGGCAGAATATACGATTTTCAAAGAATGAAAATCCACTCAAAGTAGCCCCATAACAAGGCTGTATCAGAAGTCAGCTCTCAAGGCATCCGAGAAAATGGTGATCAGACCTGAGGCCTTATCTATTAATTAGCTATTGCGGCATATCAAACAATTACAAAACTCAGTGTCTATAACAACAATTATTAAGTTGCTTATGAGTTTGTGGGTTTGGTGGGGTTTGATTGATTGACTTTGAGCTCTGCTGAGCAGCTCTACTTCAAGCTGCAGTGGCTGGAGTGACTAATTCTCCCTGTGGTCTGTCAGGTGATAGCACTAGTTCTGTTCCAGGTGTCTTTCATACTTCTTCAACCAACAGACTACCTGAGGCATGCCTTTTTTTCTTTTTTTTTTTTTTTGGAGTCGGAGTCTCGCTCTGTCAGCCAGACTAGAGTACAGTGGTGAGAGATCGCGGCTCACTGCAACCTCTGCCTCCCAGGTTCAGGCGATTCTCCTGCCTCAGCCTCCTGAATAGCTGGGACTACAGGCGCCTGCCACCACGCCCAGCTAATTTTTGTATTTTTAGTAGAGACAAGGTTTCACCATATTGGCCAGGCTGGTCTCGAACTCCTGACCTTGTGATCCACCCACCTCGGCCTCTCAAAGTGCTGGAATTACAGGCATGAGCCACAGCGCCTGGCCGGCATGCTCTTCTTATTGCAGTAGCAGAGGCACTGAAGGGCAAGCAGAAATATTCAAGGCCATTTAAAGCCTTAATTCAAAACTGGCATACTGTCAGTTCTATCTCATTCTATTGGCCAAAGCAAGTTAAATGGCCAAACCCAAAATCTAGGAGAAGGGAAATATATCCCGCTCTTTTAGTAGGAGGAATTGCAAAGTTACATGGCAAAGGATTTGGATAGAGAGAGATGTAGAATCAGGGCCAATAAGGCAGTCTACCATATGTGACCACCTGCCCAGTTCCAGAAACCTCAGTAGCCTTAAGAGCAGTAGCAGCGATACTTGAATCTTTATTCTGGCATCACAATTATCTCGACTCAGCCACAAGCTTGCATAATTTTCTGTATCACTTAGATCAAATTTCCAAAACAAAGAATCTTACTGAACAAGCTTGGTTTTTGCATTTCTTTGGGGTCAATGGAGCTCCCTGGTTTGATCACGGGGCAATTCTCTTAAAGAAGGGTGTAAGCAGAGAGGCAGCAATCACATACATACCCAGGATAGTTTTCTTTGTGTTGTCATCGTTTTCTGTTGGTTCCTCGTCACCTGGTTTCTCCAGCTGGCAACTTCTCCTTGGTTGTCCAAGGCAGGAAATATGTTTTCAAGGAATGGAAATCCACTCAAACTAGCTCCGTAAAAGTCTGTATCAGAAGGATTCAGATCTCAAGGTGTTCAAGAAAATGGTGATCAGACCCAGGGTTGTGCACATCTTTTCCAAGACTTCCATATTCATAGAAATTGGTTCACTTTCCCGTGTTTTCTTATTATTGACCACCTGACCAAGGCCAGAAAATGATCTAACCTTGGCTTCAAACACATCTTAATGCTCTTTGTGAGATAAATTATGTCTTTGGCTACTCACTGATCTCTGATTCTGATCACAGATCAGGCCCTGATCTCAGCTTACTACTTACCTCATTAATGAGCACCATTAGTCTTACAGTAGACAGAGAAGCAGTATAGATGGCTTATCTCAGCTTCCTCCCTCCCCTAGACATACAATCAGAAATAAGTAGGTGGTGGGACAGTGACACCATCTTTCCTTGCATCATTTCTTTGAAGGAGAAAATTTTTCCATCTTAAACTTGCATAATATACACATTACTTATAGAAAGCCTACAATCCAAAAGAAAAATGAGTCAGAATTACAAATAAAAAAGAAAAAAAAAATTCCTAATACAGTGTTTCTGCTGTTGTTCAAATGTGAAACCACCCATAAAATACAGAGAACATTTGAATGTGTTGATGGAGGGTGGAAATTATCTATCAAATAAGTTGGCAGAATTCATTTCAATCTATTGTCATTATCTTGAAGGAAATGGTACCATTTCAGTTGACAATTTGCAGAATGAGCAATGAGACGCTGGTCCTATTTAAGGCATGATTTTCCTTATAGGAAGACACTGAGGAGACAGCAGAGAAACCCTATGTGTGAGCCTCCCTCTGCCTGAGCCAATTATGGAAAACACAGACATAACCTAATGTCTAAGTACTATGAACATGATATATTGTTATTTTGTTCAAGGGCCCTGAGGCAAAAGAAAAATCAAAATAATTTTTACAATAGCACCTGTTTGAAAATAAGCAATTTATTCCATCCTTATAAAATATTTATGGATTTCAAATGGATGTCCTTGAATAAGGCCATTTCATTCCTTTTCTCCAGTGAGGATAGGTTAGAGAAAACTCTAGATGTATTTCCTGTTAATTTAATACAGACCCAAACCTTTTTGTGAAAAAGCAGCCACCCAATAACTTTATTTACTAAACTTTATTCTTAATGATTCTGCTTTAGTAGTTGTACAAGAAATAGCCCATGCATCGCTTCACCTATTGAATAAAGAGGAATCACTTCTATGCAATAAAATAATTTGATTTCCATCGAGAAAATGTATTTCAAAAAACCCAAGAGATTGAGGAAACTATTACTTTTTATTACCCATATCATAATGTTCATCTTAATTACTGCTAAAGCAGGTTCACAGATGCAGTCTAATTGAATGTATAACTTTTTAATTGAAAAATGGGAAAGTATGAAATTCGAGTTCTAACCATAGATCTGACTAAAGTCAGATCCTTTCGTTCAATAAGCTTTCCTGATAGAACTGAGGCTCTTAGAAATGTACCAATTCTCAGGTATCAACAATGCACAAATCAAATATTCTGGAATGTGGAGCAATTAGTCAGTGTTGTATCATCTATTACAACAAGATTTAGAACCAGGTCAAAGTGACAGGACATCGAATAATGTGGCAAACCAGTTGAGATTACTTTTGACTCTGCTCCTGACATTTTGACCTATCAAGAGGTCAAATGTCAGGCAAGAGGTTTTATATTTTAAATATCAAATAAGAGATAGGGTTCTCACATACTTTATTTGGATAGACCAACTATCACTCTGTCTTCGTGAGCTCCAGTGAGAGACTTCTCTGTATTTCACTATCTTCCAGGCCTCCATTAGAAGGCTGCCTCACGGGAAAGCAAGCTTTTAGCACACTTAGGCCAGCAAGACCATTACCTTGGGCCCATTCAAATTCTGCTTCTTCACAAGAAAAAGCATCAGGAAAGTGAGTTCAGTTGTGCCTCCATTCCCCTTCATCCTGAAAAATAGTAACACTTCCTAGGGGTCTATCCAAATTGCTTTGAAAATAATGAGCATCATTGACAGTCTCTGGGCCCTTAGTTCTATCCCTTATAGTCCAAAGCCTAAACCTTCTGTCTATACCTAAAAACAGCAAATAATGAGCCATCTCTTTGGTAGCCTATACTTTTAGCCATTCTAGTACAGGTTGAGGAAAAGAACCTTCTAGGAATATTACTGCATTACTGCTATATCTTTCATCTGTAATTAAATGGTATTTCCTACATCTGTTTTTCTTTTTCCATATGAAATTCCTTGATGGTCCCCTAATGCACTACAATAAAACATGCAATGGCTAAGTTTACTGACGGGGTTATCTAAAATTCTCCAGAATTTTTCAAAAATTATTTATAATAGAATGCTTATGTTTTAGATTACTGTTCTCTAAAGTATGCATATGAACATGTAACTTTATTCAGACATTCCATTTTGCCAAAACATCAATTAGTCTGACTCATCAAATACCCTTTTTATATTCTGTATCATGTATTTGATATGTTTCTATTTATGCACCAGAGAATACCACTCGACTTCCACTGAAAACAGCCTCTGAATACATAGACGGTAATCATATGCTTAGACAGCAAAGGAAGCCTTTCATGACTATTTTTAATGTATCTATACCACTTCAGATGTCTTTTTGGAAACCAGCTGCAGAATCAATGTGTTCAAATGGTATCATTCAGTCACTGCCATGTATTAGCGCTCTTTAATTTCTTAAAGGCCAGGTTCTCTGCTTATACCAAGGCAGAAGGAGTAATATGACTTTAAGGGTGTGGGTGATAATTCAAGTATGATTGTATTAGCATAAAAGAACATAAGCTGCTTTTCCTGAATGCAAACATGGTCCCTAAACCAAGGATGTAAATTAGTATTACAATGAAAGCCGCCAGAAGGACAGAAGCTTGGAAGTGTTCTCTTCTCCGAGCAGCAGGAGACTGTTCAGGTCCTGCTGTTTTGAAAACCTTTCTCCCCCCCATGCAGGCTGCCCTGCTAAGAGAAATCCATTTGAATATTTTGGCAATCACAGAGGCCCCCACATAAATTATGGATACAGAAATGCATAAGACAGTCTAACAAATGGAACACGGTGGAATCTGTTTTTCTGCCGCCATATGGTGTCGACAGAATGCCACTTTGTTTCTCTGGGAAACAGCTCACCATTAAAAAATAAATAGCATCTTTTCTGTGGGGAGAGAACCCACAGTCATTATTTTGAAAAATAACAAACAGGAAACTCTGTCCTTTCATTTTACAATCTTTTTTTTTTTCTTATATTATTATTGCCACACACATAGACTTTTTTCCCAGGAAGATTTGTGATGGCTTGTACTTTGTTGATACATGGGAACTCAACACCATGTTTTCCTGACTGGGGAGCTAAGTCCAAGCACAATATACACCAAGAAAAATCAGGACACTTCATTATGGATCTTCTTTCCTTTGGAAAACTATCCTTTCAAACTGACATACGGATTTTACTTATAGTTAGATTTCATGATTGTAGATATAATGCATATAAACCATCTTGGTTTATGAAAAGTTTAACAACATCCAAATTGAATTAGGATGCCATTTTATTTATAGAATAAAGTTATTACTGGAATTAATTCTATAATGTATTTGATAATTTACCCTCTCTCAGACCTGGGGAAATCTTTTACCACATTCCATAATTAAATGTAATGCAAAACTTGTCCATGTCTTTCTTCCTCCTACAGCCTTTCTCTGGGGTTTTATTCTTTTTCCTTCAAAAATATCTTTCTTATCATTATCTATGTCATTAGACTGCTGAAAATTTATATCTGCAATGCTATCTGTACACAAATCATAGTATTTTTAAATCAACAGAAATCCCTAAGTATTTTTACAAATACTGCTTTATTTGATGTTTGTGCAAACAGCACTGAGATATGGGTAAAAGAAGTTATCATCCCTTCCTTGCAAACAAAGAAATAGAGGAGATTAAATAAACAACCTACACGTTAGTACCAGAGTTTGTCCCAGGTCTTTTGACTTCCCAGATGAAGACTTTTTCTTCAACACTCTCTTAGCTGAGATGGACAGACATAAGAAGACCTTCACAGTTATTGCTTATCTTCCATTGTTCCTTCAGTGATGGTCTCTGACCATATGGCTATATTGGTCTTATTATTGAGAACATGTCATCTACCTATTTCCTCACATATCAGGCAAATATTTCAAAATACAAGTAAGTAAATGGCTTTGAAAAGTCAGTCGTTACAGACCAAAAGAAAAGCATACATCTATAAAGGTTACATTGTGTTTCAAAAGAAATTGTTTTTTGAGGCCAGGCGCAGTGGCTCACGCCTGTAATCCCAGCACTTTGGGAGGCCGAGGCGGGTGGATCACGAGGTCAGGAGATGGGGACCATCCTGGCTAACACGGTAAACCCCGTCTGTACTAAAAATACAAAAAATTAGCCAGGCGTGGTGGCGGGCGCCTGTAGTCCCAGCTACTCGGGAGGCTGAGGCAGGAGAATGGCGTGAACCCGGAAGGCGGAGCTTGCAGTGAGCCGAGATGGCACCACTGCACTCCAGCCTGGGCGACAGAGCGAGACTCTGTCTCAAAAAAAAAAAAAAAAGAAATTGTTTTTTGAGATTCTGAGGCCAGGATTATCTGTTCCCATTTTGTGAACTCTGAAATGGGATTTGGGGTCAGAAAAATGTTTGTTTTGATAAGCTACTTTTCATGGTATGTTAGCACAATGTTGTCCTAAAATAAGCAATAATTTTATAATATGTTGTTCTTTTGAGAGAGAAGACTAAGAAATGTTCACTGACATTAGGTAAATGAGGAGAGCACAAAATTCCATCTTCCTGGGGACCAGAAAGCAAGAATATAAAAGATGTGTTCCCTTTTCTCCCCCAAGGTGTCAACACTAAATTCTTTTCTGCAATATAACATTGAGTCTCTGCCAATTGAAAGAGTCCTCACAGCCTCATCTGATTGAATTCATTTCTTTCACTCCTAAAGAAAGCTTTTTCAAAAATATAAACTGATCTCAGGGTATATATGTTACTTCATTTCTTTTATTCTACTATTTCATCTTTGTCCTTTAAGACTTTCTCAATTCATACATGAGATGGGGATATTACAAATTAAGAAGCAGAAAAATATTTCATATCTGCCAAGTTCCAAGGCATATGCTTTGTTCCTTGTTACTGGAAACAGTGTTCTCAAGAAATTACATACAACTTGGCAGATAATTCTACAATGTTGTTGACAGCTTGTCAATAGTGGATACCGATGGCTCTGTGGCATCAAGTATATAGCAAGCCAAAGATCTCGTAATATGGAGCATGCACCACAAGTAAAGACTTCAACATGAAAACAAAGCAGCCAATCTATTGTAACATTTGGTGTTGTTTTAAGGTTGCTCATTCTTAATGCTATGGCTGATAGCTTGTACAAATCACTTGTAAGATACCCTCCCTGACAGGAAATGGAAAAAATGGAACACAGCTTTAGATGCTGTACCTGATGGAGAGTGAGGAAAGAACATATTTTGTGTTGTTATTAATTGAAGGCTAGTCACCAAACACCTGCATCTAGCACTGTAGGATTTTAAGCATGAGTTCCAGATCTAGAGGAAAACAGTTACGGGAAAAGATACAAGTGACATGGTCTAGAAAGAAGCCTGACTATATCACTTAAGGTTACAGTAACTATACGTAATTGAAAAAAAAAAAAAATTAGTTCCTCTTTTGCAGTAGCCACATTTCAAGTACTCAATAGCCACATGTATCTAGTGGCTACTGTATTGGCCATTGCAGATATAGACTATTCCCAACGTCACTTAGTGTTCTATTGGACAGCACTAGTACATTGAGTAAAACATTTCTGCATGATTCTTTCATTTATTCAACAATCCCCTTTATTAAGTGTAAGCTTTTCAAGGGAAACATCGTGCAAATCAGAGAGATTTAGTTTGCAAACCAGAGGTCTCACTTCGCTCCTAATTTGCTGTACAACCTTAGGAACTCTTGCTGTTAGTTTCCTGCCTAGGAAAACAGAGGCCACAATGACAGTGACCATATGGGGCTGCTGCAAAGATATTCTAGAAGAAACAAGCCTAAGGTGCTCAGTTAGGTGGTTTAGTTATAGTAATTGTCATGCTAACTAGATTGTGTCCATATATTTAGTTCTGTGAAACAATTGCTGAATCATCTTTTACTATGTCAGAAAAGGGTTCTACGTTTCTTCTTGAGTTGCTAACAACAACCATAAAAATGAATGTTCATTGGATATTTAATAAAAGCTAGATGCATATATTTCCAGATTTAAGCTCTGTATTTGCTACATACTTCCCAGTAAGTTGTATACCTGTGGAGCAATTATTGCACCTTACTCACCCTCATTTTCCTAATACGTAAACTGAAGATGATAATAGTCCTTATGAGGATTAAATTAATATGGCACACAAAGTTCTAGGATAGTAGCAAAACACATCAGGACTCATTAAAAGGTAGCCATTTCTACTTACCATTTTCCAGGCACTTTGATGAATACTTTACATCTATTTTCTTATGTTAACTCCTAATACAACCCAAAAGATCAATTTTACAACTAGCTTCATAAATAGAGAGAAAGCCAAGACTTGAAGAAGTTAAGAAATTTCACCAATTTCACGCAGGAGAAAAGAGTGGAGCCAGGATTTGACCCACGCATTCTACTCTGAAAACCTGAGCAAATAACCTTAGACCATGGCACCGGCCTTGTGGGCTTATTACAGGGATTTTATGGGATAATGCAGGTAAAGTATGTAATGCACATATTTGTAGGGATTATGTTATTGTTATGCTTAGGCTCATTAAGTAATACTTTTCAGTTTGGTGGTAATTTTAATGTTTTGAGGTGAGGGGATGGTTATAGAGTTATTAAAGTGGAGGTTGTAGCTAACGCTTTTACAGAGCATTTTAGAGCTGTCTAATAATGTATCTTTTATGGTCAATGTGCCATTCCTCCTCTCAAGTTTCTTTGTGCTTAAAAATAATAATAGCAATAAGCAACTCTATGCAAAGAAACCAGAAAGCAAGTGCTAGATAAAAGAGAAGCAATGACAATATAGTTCTTTTGAAAACACGAGCAGTCCTTTACAAGTCTAAAATGAAATGGAAGATGATATAGGTGTATTGGGAGCTGTCCTGAGAAATGGTACTGAAGTAACAGTTTTGAACTTCGAAAACTACACCCAGCCACGGTTGGGCAAACTCCCTGCTGATCTGGCATGGAATAACATCAAAGGAAATGCATGGCAGACCACAATTTTCCAGCATGTTGTTCCAGCCTGAAGCAGCCTGTTAATATTAGCATAAAGCAACATAAGTCATTTTTGAAGGCACAGTGGGGGAGATAGTGTTTTTTATTGCTCCTTTTCAGAAATGTGTTAAACTACAACTCCCGATACGTAAGCTGACTATTTCTATACCAAATAACACCTGACCTATGAAAAGGCAAACTCTTTAGGAACCAAATTCAAATCAAAGAAGCCTTCATTTTAGCTACAGAAGAAAAATAAAAGGCGGCGATAAAAGATCATTTGGAAATTTGGGTTGAGGCCAACAGATTGTTATGGTGACAGAGGATAAATGGCCTTTTTGCAATATGTGCCATTTTTCCTACAGCAAGAAGAGTGAATGAATCTAATTTCAGAATCTTTCCAAGCAGTATACAATGAGATTTAAGAAAAAAAAAAAAGCATGGATTTCTAAATAATTTTGATAGTGCTTACCTAAAGGCAGAAAAGAGCCATTAGTATATATAATGATGTTACCAGGATTTTAAAAAACAAATGTGATTGGTTAGAACAATAGGTCAAAACAAACTAGCTGGATTTTAACAAAAATCTAAGTTAATTCTGTACAAAATTTTAATTTTTCAAATTCTCTTGGGAGATATGTTTCAGCAAAAACTCATGTGGAAAATGAAACAAAAGGCTTATCAGCCCATAAACTAAATATAGGTCTACATTGTGATGCTGCATGACAAAATTTGATGCAATCTTAACCTGTGTTAACAGAGGTAGACTATCCAAGTCATGGGAGGTGATGGTTAGTATATATTCTGTGCTGTAGAGATATAATCGAGAGTTCAGGCAGTTTTTGCACGGGTAGGAGAGAATATTAGGATGATGAGAGGATGCTTGCCTCCAAAAGAAGTTATGTGAGCAAGGTCAGGGAACCTGGGGAATTTGAGCTCAGCAAGAAATGCCCAAGAGTAGAAGCAATTATATCAATTTCATAATAATAATTCTATTTAAAGGCACTTTTTGTTTTGTTGCAATCTCAAGCTGAGTACAGCATGCCCTGGATCACTGTCTGACATGTCTACCTTCTGAAATTGTACAATCCAGCTAAGTCTGACCTATATTTGAGCCAATTTTTTTCCTCCTTGTATTGTTACAATTAGCCTACTGAAATCTCTTGTGAGCTTCCCAAGACCAGGGATCCTGTCTTGTTTGGCTCTATATTTCCCACAGCAAATGAGACTAACTCCAGGAAACACTCAGTGACTATTTGTTGATTTCCCCCTAACATGTCACTTTTTCGCTCTTAGGTTAAACACTGTTCACAATCTGGAGGAGATCTCTCTCTCTAACTTAGCTCTTACTCCTGATCTTCCATATGGGCCATCAAGACTCTGTATCATTAGCAACCTCTAAAATGTCTTAATTGGAGAAGTTAGGCATTTTTTATGAGGGTGCATAGAGTTCAACTGAGTTTCCATACTCCAGTATCTACATTTCAAAATCCAAAAGAGGACATAAAAAGGCTTTGGGTTACAAAAAGCTATAACTTAATTGGCAACACCTGCAGAGAGCAGGTGATAAATGTATGAAGAGGCTGAGGGGTATCTCCAGTCTTTTGCTGTTGTCATTTCATATGCACACATTCCTATAGAGCAGTACATCACTAACTGTTCAAGTAAAACCTGTTCGGGAGAAGGGAAAATATCAAATAGAAAAAGATATTCTAATATCAACAGCACTTTCAGAAATGCAGTTGAAGTTCTTAATAAAAACTATTTCATCTCTTTCCTTTTTTCCCATCACAATCTAAGTTATTGAGGGTAGAAATTCAAATGAACATATCTTACCAAAATATTTATTCAAATAGGAATGTTAGTGATTTTCAGATGCTTGCTGGCAGAGCGGAAACAGAAAGATAAACGGCTTTTTTACCCTATTCAAGAGTTATTGTTATCTTCTAGGCTGTGATGTTCCCTCATTATCCAGGGGTACACAAATCCAGGCAGTGCATAATTTGGGAACCAAAAGTAAAATAGTAAAACATTTTTCAAGATGCTTTCACCATTTCACCACTTTTAAAAAAGGAATTTCAATGCAGGAAAAAAGTATACCTCATATTGGCTCTTCCCAGGCATTAAAATTCCACGCACAAAACTATGTGCACTGCTTCTCCACAGGATGCTACCAACACTTTGCAAAGAGCAGGCTGGAGTCCCACCCAGTCCATTTAACTCCTACTTTCTGGGGCAATGCTAGTGTTGCCAAAGTTCATCACCAAATTTTACATATTGTCAAACTGAGGCCCAAGGATTCAAGGCAACCATACTGTTTCTCAGACTCATCTGGCAAGAGTTATGAAATAAATGTCTTCCAGTCTTCTTAGCAATGGAAAAAATAATTACCTAAGCTGTTTACTTCCATTTTAATCAGTCAGCCAATCAAGTCTGAAATGAGAGCTTGCTCAATTATGCTATCAGCCTTGTGCTTAGCTCTGCCATGAAGAACCAAGAGAGTAGAGTGCAGTTTTGCCCTCTAGGAAGCCTGACTTAGACACACCTGAGACAATTAGAGAACAATACAGGATAAGATGCAATTAAGTGAGAAAACGTTAAGTAGAATGATTGTAAGTGCTTTAAAGGGCTCAAAGGTGTAGCTCCAGCAGGGGGGAAATGTTGTAAAGAAAGGGTCCTTTATCTCTCTGTCTTGTTTTCGCCCTTTCTACCTCTTCCTCACTGCATTTTTCAGGATTGACAGAAAGAAGCTGCTTCAGGCACCGCCCCTGAGGTAGAGCTGCCACTTTCATCTCCTGTTCTTTTCCTATTGACCATGTGGCTCTGTCAGCTGATATTCTTGTTACAACCTGAAATCCCCTTCCACTGGCCCATTTCAAACACCCCTCATGACTGTTTTAATACCTCCCTGGGCTGATTCCCTCTTCACCCCTTCCACATTTCCTTCCTATGCATTTCCAGAGTCCGCTTCTTCTTGAATGTGACGGGCGTGCATCTACTCTCTTCTTAACAAAACTGTGGGGTCTTTAGACATCTATAATTGCTAAACACCCACATGGGTGTTTAGCAATTATAGATGTCTAAAAATGAAAGGATATTTTAGTAGTCCTCAGGATGGTCTCAGGGTTATGATATGACAGATTTCTCCAATAATACAAAATCAGACACTATGAGATGAGGCTGACCACAAGCTGCAATAGACAGAAGGTTGGTCTCCAATGAAGCTGTCTGTTTAGACTTGTTGGCTTATTCAATAAAACATCTTCAGTCACCCATGTTTCTGTCCCCCTCTTTCAATGGCTACTAGTAGCTAAGCTTCAAGAAGAACCTTACAACATAATGTGCTTATCTTAGTACATATAGAAAACCTGAATGCTTCATACTAGACTGACACTTGCAGAATAAAAATAAATTTTTTTTAATCTTTGAAGAACCATTTTTCTCACTCTCAAATTATTTCTTCCTGTTCACACTCTTCATTGGGCCACACACCAGTCAATGACCCTCATACCATCCTCATTATTACAGAGCCCTTGAATACAAGATTCTTGCAAGGGAGAAGTTTTACAAAAGGGAAATAAAAAGAATTATTATTTCAACCTGACACTTTTTTCTGCCTTTATTTCTTCCAAACTAATATGTCAAACTAATTCAATTTATTGTGTCCATTTTTCTCCAGCAGACCTGAAGTAAATGAATGTGCTCTATATAATCTGGAAGGCAATGCAAATACACAGTCAAACTATTTCAGGGCTATAATATAGCCAGGGACAGAAAATTTTAATTCAAAAGTTAACGATTCATATATCACTTGTTATCTTCACATGTCAACACTTCAGACAGCCTATTTTAATATTTGGTATTTTTTCATACTTTATCTTGTAAAAAGAATTTTATCCCTTTCTCACTGTATTCCTCAATGTGGAAAAAAAGGTCAGACAAGAGTTTTAAATTTTCGACATGGAGGATGATAACAACGGTTTCTAGTGACAACAAAAGTTCCTACCCTTATAGGAAAGCAGTGATTTTTTCTTGGGCCACAGCAGCAAGGAATCACCAGAACCAACTTTAAATCCACCCTAATTGATTAGTAACAACTTTGCATGGTTCACCATGTTCCCAAAAGCCAACCAATCAGTTACAGCCCAATATTTCTGAAAATCAGCGAGTGAGTAACAATGATTTTTAAGTAACCACACTTTCACAGCTAAAGGTCAACCAATATCTAAACACCCTCGCTTTTGAAATTCTGTCAATCCCTCAACTCCAGGATCCTTGAACCCCTACACATTAGGCCTCTGCTTTGCTCAGAGTGAGCGGGCTTACAAGCCAAGTTCTCCTTCACTTAGCAAGCAATAAATTGCTGTCTTTGTTTGAGATAAGAAGTGATGGCCTCTTTCACTTAAACTAGTTTGATATCTCACTGATACATCACTGACACACTGTATTTAGAGATTCATTTACCTATTTATTTCAAATAGAATATAAAGTAGTTAAATATTATTAAGCCAACTGATGGCCCAAGCTGCAATATGAACAGTGGTGGTCTACAGTTCAGTAAGCCAATAAAGTTGTCTGTTTAGACTTGTTGGTCTATTCAAATGAAACATCTCCGTCAGTCATCTATGCTTCTGTTCCCCTCTTCCAACAGCTGATAATATGTAGGCTTTGAGCAAATTATCACACACTAAGGAGGAAGGTTACAGAAAATCACAATGTAGACACATGGTGTGCAAAATCCCTGAAGCTCTCCAATGGTGACATCCATCTCAGAATGTTCAGACTGCCTATGCTTGAAAGAGGTGGCCTATTTTATCCAATGAGTTCAAAACAAAAGATAAGAGAACAAATGTGGAATATTTTCCTTTCATATAGTTGATGAATTTGAAATCATGGAATCTTTTTGAATATAAATTATGTCTTCACACCAAAAGGCTTCCATGATAATGTGCAAAAGACACCATACACCACTTTGTTTAAAGTATGTAATTTATATTTTTTACAGGATTTCCAATAAGAATGCTATACACATAGTTGTAGATACTGTTGTCTTCTTTATTCAAGTTATTTTAAATGTTGTAGATTGTCTCTACTTTGCTTGAGCTTATGGTTGTAAAAGAAACAAAAAGTTATTGGAGACCCCATACAATACCGTAATTTATGTACAGAGATAGTCTGAATGCTGTTAAGACTTATTAAGTCCAGAGAGAAAGCTCATTATCTATTGTATAAATGAGAATCAAGTCTCCTAGTACACTATGTTTAGCTATGATAAATATCGTGACTTCCTAAGATCCTTTATTTCCTCTGGGCAATTCTGCCTGCCTTTGGCTGAAAACTACCCGCATGGCCTCCCCAGTCTCTCCAGTTCCCAACTTAATGCTTCTGCCTACATTCTCCCTTGTGCTATTCTTTCCTCCCTTCATCTCTATACCCCCAAACCCTCTCCTTCCTCTCCAATTCCATACTCAATAGGAAGGTACACGCCATCATTTCATGAGGTTCCCTCTCTTTCCTCTGAAATCACATACACTTTTCTAGTCAATGCCTTCATTTATTTACTCATTCAAAAATATTAATTTTTACCATGCTGGGAAATATGCTAGACATTTTGTAATTACCACCCGTTGCCTTGTACCTGTTGCCAGTTATCTGTGTAGCTGTCTTATCCTCATTTATTAGTTGTTAACTTCCCTAAGTACAAAGAACATGTCCTTTCCATCTTACGGTGCTTAATCCGTGCTCTGTGGATGAATAATTTTGCCTTTGGCATGGTAGGGTGGTTCACAGAGGTGAACCAAGTAAACAATATGTGATTCAGTTATCAAACAAGTATCTGACCAAAGGTGGTTTATTTGGTTCACCGAATTTCCCTTGAAATTTTTTTTTGAAATGTTTTTTCTGCAGTGGATAAATCATAAGCCCTCTAAGAAATAGAAGTTGAAGCAGTGCATTCATGGAGTACATGAAATAAGCTTTAAAACCTCCAACTATTGGTAATTGTCAATCATTTTTAAAAGTCTATCAATTTAGCTCGAACACTACAAGAATTCTGTGTGCTTGAATATCCCTAAGGACACCAAGTATTGCTGAAATTATTGTGTTTATAGGTCTGTCAAAAGCACAAAAGATGCCTCATAGAGGCTTGTTAAGATAACTAACAGTAATCACCATCACACAAGGAAGGGTAACAACACTGTACCATTTGTCCTTTCAGTTTTGAGGGCAGAGAAATTGGTATTGTTTCTTCACGACCACTAAAGGCTGCAATGGGTACCTTAAGAACTGGAAATTTTATTCACATGTGTACTGCCTGGGGTGATTTAAGAAGCTTGTGTTAGACAGTGAAAAAGCAAATGTAGGCAAAACAGCACTTGTGTCCTCAAGATGCTAATAAGCACAGGCTTATCAGTCTCCTTCTCTTTGCAGCATGTGTGGGAGGGGCTCCTTCGAGGATAGACTCCTCCTGTGTCCCAGGTCCCTGCAGAACCACGGTTCCCTGAAGTTTGTCCTCACTCAGCTCCAGCTGGCACATGGTGGCCAACCCCTCTCCTTCTGTGAAGTTTCCTGAGATTGTGAATTGTTTTCTTTCCCTTCCCCACCTGTCTACTCAGAGAGCTCATCTGCTTGCAGCACTTCCTCTCTCACCAGGATGCAAATGACTCCCAAATCTATTTCTCTGCTTTGCATGTCTATCTCTCTACATCACAGGGTACTTACTGCATGCTGCTGGCAGGCAATCATTACTCAGTAAATACTTGCTGCCTGATTGTAGGATAAGATGGAAGTGATATTCTTTCAGGTAAATGCACAAAGGGCTTTTCTGGGTCAAGATGGCCTTGCCCTTCCTAAATTCAAAACTAGAGAGAAAGGGATAAAATTGTTATAGGTAAACTCCTTAGAGGAAAGAACTGTATAATTTTTGTTCAGCGTCTACTATTTTATCTACTCAGCACAGCCTTTTGGTCCTAGGGTTGCCTCCTCTCCCTCCATTACACATTCACCAGGGCCACATTACCATGTGGTCCCATCCCGTACACAGTGTGGGCATTTGACCCAAAGTAGGCCAAGGACCCCCCATCCCTGGGATTTTGGAACTTAGAATTGACATGGTATTTTCTCTGCTAGTGTCTGAGACTGAAAAATGTAAAACCCCAGAGATGGCTTCCATCACTGAGTCCCTAATTCACTACTATGTTCCATGCACCATGCGATGACAAACCAGAATGAAAGCCCCTGCCTGCTATCAAAGGAAGACAGGTGATAAATAAATATGCAAGTAAATATATAGAATGTCAGATGGGATAACCCATAAACCCACTGTCCAAAGAAATCATAGCCTGTGATGTCCAAACAAACTCAGAACAGGAAGGAAAGAAAATGAAGCAAAACAGAACATTCAAATGCACAGTTCCCATTCTCATTTCTATGGTTTTTTAAAATGTAAAAGCAACAATAAAAGTAACTATAGTAATGAGTACCAGTTAGTGAAGGGGTTCAAGGTTTCAAGTGTTGCTTGGAATAGCCTCAGTTAATCCAGGAACCTGCCCTTTGAGATAAGCACTAAACATTTGCCTGATTTTATAGGTGAAGAAATTGATGCTTGAAAGGTTTAGTAATTTGGCCAAAGTCACAGAGTGGGGAGCAGAACCAGCATTAAAACCCAGGCAGCCTCCGCCCAGAACCCTTGCTGTTACCACGCACTCGGCTGTGCTAGCACTGAGCTGCTTCCGGGGACCAGTAACTGTGCCAAATAAAGTACATCTTCCTTTAAGGAGCTCACAGCTCAACTGCAGAGGCAGATACAGAAGGGGGCAAATGTGATGGAGCTGCTATCATCACACAGGCAAAAGTATGGACTAATATGCAAAACTATGTGTGGACTTGAATTCCCAGCTCCACTGAACCTTCTGGGGTCATCCAAGGGCCACGCCCACATACTTCCAAGCCGAGAAGCTCTGACCCAGTGAGTCTGGAAATGGCAGCTCATGTCTGCCCTGATACCTTAAACAAGTTGCCCTTGGTGTTATCCGATAAAGTGGAAGAGATGAAACCGCATGGTTTCTGTGGAGTGCCTCCCCAACTTCATTCTTCCCAACTTACTCAAAAGACAGCACTTAGGAATGTCCTTAGGAGCCCCTGCAGGCAAATGCAATGGGACAGCCAGTGCCGAAAGACAGACCATTCCAAATACTAATTCAGCACCAAATGGAGAGATGCTTTTTAACTCTCCAACAAAGCAAAATGATCATCCAAATGACAGAGATTTTACTGGGTGGTGGTGGTGGTTGTTTAACATTTTTCTTTTTTGTTTTTAATGTAATACAATTCCTTCCATTAAACTGGCTGCCAATGAGTGAAAGAAGAGGCAAGCAGGAAGGTGCAATTTTTCATTCTGTCATTCATTCTCTTCTCCCCTGTTCCGCCCTCCACTTTGGCCTTCCTACTAAAAAAAGCCTAGGTCAGAAATTCTGTTTCCCCAAATCCATTACCTGTGGCAGGAGCAGCAGTCTGCAGGGAAAGGGTGGGGCAAGAAGAGGGAGCATGAGAAATGTAGCAGAAAAGTAGGTGAGGAAGGTGTCTTTAGTGTTCTCTTGGAAGCTGAAGTGCTTGGAAATTGAACGTCAAAGCCCATCCAGATTTTTCTTCCCTCAGGGCACCTTTTCTCATCTGAAGAAATATTAAGTTCATTTCGACTACTGCTCTCCTGGAATTCACAATTGCTACCAGTTCAGGGAGCAGTGGCAGACCAAGGACAGGTCACCTTCTCTACAAGGCCTCCCCAGTCTCTCTTTCCCCAAGCAGGACTCATCCTGTTCTGGTCCTCCCAGCACTGGCTCCCACATCTTCCTCTGTCCTCAGGGTGCCCCATCTCTCATCCTAGATATTCATGCTTAGTAGTTCTTCTCACTACATTATGGAATTCTGACAATCAAGAACTTTTTTCATTCATATAGAATTGCCCAGAGTTTGCAAGAATGGGAAGAGCATGGGTTTTGAAGTCAAGCTGGTCCTAGTTTCAACTCTGGTATTTACATCCAATAGATGTATGACTGACAGGTAATCGAGACCCTCTGGGGTTCCATTTCCTTCTCAGTACAAGGATGGAGAATAATACAGGGCTAGCCAGGTTGCTCTGATCATTAAAAGCAAAACTAAAATAACTCACACTTATCAAAGGATTGCTTTGTGCTAGGCACTATTCTGAGCTATTTACATGCATTGCCTTCTTGAATCTTTCTAACAGATCAAAAGGTAGATACTAGTATGAGTTCCATTTTATAGATATGGAAACAGAGGCTTCTGTGAGTAATATAACTTGCCTAAGTTGCTTAGCCTGGAAGACACATAATAAAAACAACAACAATAATAATAGCTATGCTTTATTCTACAGTAACTCTGTGCCATAGATGTGCTAAATATTTTTTATGTATTAAATCATGGGCTTCTCATTTTTCAACTGAGGAAACTGCATCTGAGAAAGATGAAATAACTTGCTGTGGCTATTCAGTCATCATAGAACAGAGCAGAAATATAACCCCAGGTCTCTCTGAGTCAGAGCTTTTGAGGTTAACCACGGCAATTTTACCATATAGCATCCCCTTAATACATTTTGTTAAATCAAATTGATACTCTAGAGAATTTTTCATTCAAACATATTAGATTTCTTTTGGAAAACATAGGTTTTACATCCTGTGCACAGTGGATTTGATTTGCTTTTTAGTTTTTTCATGGAGAGGAACCTAAAAGAGAGAACAGAGAGGAAGAGTCGAGGGTTGCGGTACCCAACCTCAGTCATGCAGCCCTTATAATGAAGGCCAGCTTGGATCTCCTTAATGTGGGAACCAGAATCCACAACATCCCTTGCAGGCTCTCGAGCTGCTGCACTCCATAGCCACATTTATGAAGATGGATAAAAAGCACCTTTTGCAGGCTTCACTGCCCAAGCAGTGGTAGTAATATAAACACCCAGTAAGAGGGGGTTGATGAAGTATGATCTGTCAACTTGATGCACCATCATGACTCTAGGAAAATAGTAATTATAAAGACTAGGGAGAAACATGCAAGAATGCTTCAAATGTTTACCATATGATGTTAACTAAAAAAAGTACAGTGTAATGTGATTGCACCTATTTAAACTATACATATATATGAAAATGTAAACCAAAAGTGAATATAACAGAAATTAAACATTTGCATTAAGATGGAAGGATTCTGAATGGTATTTTTAGATTTAATAAATATTCTATTGTTTTGACAGTAAAACATCAAAATTAAATGTCAAAATACACTGGAGACACTCCCCCAAGAGGAATGCCGTGGAAGAACAGGCAATGACTACTCAGTTATTTTTTCTTGCCATTATTTCCCTGCTCCACAGACACATGGGAGACAAACAAAGAAAATCAGCATGGATGATAATCAGTTGTTCTCTAGCCCACAGAATATGTCTATATGCTATTTATTTATTTATTTATTTGTTTATTGAGACAGAGTCTCACTCTGTCACGCAGGCTGGAATGCAGTGGTGGGATCTTGGCTCACTGCAACCTCCACCTCCCGGTTCAAGCAATTCTCCTGCCTCAGCCTCTTGAGCAGCAGCTGGGATTACAGGTACATGCCACCATGCCTGGCTAATTTTTGTAGAGACCGTGTTTCACCACGTTGGCCAGGCTGCTCTTGAACTCCTGACCTCATGTATTCCACCCGCCTCGGCCTCCCAAAGTGCTGGGATTACAGGCGTGAGTCACCACGCCTGGCCTGTAAGCATAAAAAGCATATCTTCCCTCACTTATTCATTGGATAAAAGTGCTACGTTTTACCCAATGAAAAAGTGAGGCAAGATATGCTGTAGAATTCCTCAACACTACTTTTCAGGTGAAATACAGAATATTCAAGAACCTCTTGCTCACTGGGTCACAGGGTTGAGTGATGAGTCCCTAAGTTGAACCACGACTTTTCACACCTAGCCTAGCATTATTTCTTCTCAACCAGACTGTCCTTATGTCCCAGTGATTGCAAATAATAGTTTGTGCATTTGAGGGGTATATAGTTAACATGCTGATTCTCTGAAGGTTATAGAAAAAAAAAAGCTTCATATTTTACTTTGTATAATGTCATTTTTGAGGTTCAAGGCATGAATAATAAGACTGAAAGAAAGATGCCATTGGAAATGGGAGGACATTTGGAGCAGTGACAAGATTGTCCAGCTATGCACTTCCCAGATTTTCACCTAAATGCACATTTACCACAATTCCCATTTTCTTTCAAGTCCCCCAGGAGTCCCTTTGCCAATGCAACCTACTCTTTCCCCAGCAAGCCTCACATGTTTGAGTTAGGAGGGTTTGTCTCTGTGCTTCCCCCTGGGCTGACTCAGTTTTAGCTCTGATCTCCCTGCAAAATTAAAGGCTTAACTCCTGTGTCAGAGAGCAAGATTTTGGAAAAACACTTGGGAAATCAGAAAATTACACAACTCTGTTCAACAGCCAAGATACCCCTGCCCCCATCTTTACCATCTGTTCACTGCTTGTCCCCAGCAGCACAGGACCACCCAGGTGGGACACCTGCTTCATGCAGAGCCCCAGCACAGACAGCAGTGGGAGGAAGGGCTCTCTGCTTGAAGGGGTCATATTTCAGGGAGAATGAAAGGTGACGGATGCTCTGATGAGGCCAAAAAGCATCCCACAGGCTATTCTCTGCCCAGCCTAAGCAAAGGACACTGCTGTCAGCACTGAGGAGACCCTCCAACAAAGGTACTGTAGCCCAGCAGTATCCATGGGGTTAGGTTCCAAGTGGATGCCTGAAACTGTTACTGGAAAGGGGTCCCAATCCAGACCCCAAGAGAGGGTTCTTTAATCTCATGCAAGAATTCCCGGGGAGTCCACAGAGTAAAGGGAAAGCAAGTTTATTAGAGAAGCAAGAGAACAAAAGATTGGTTACTCCATAGGCAAAGCAGCCCCAAGGGCTGCTGGTTGGGTATTTTTATGGTTATTTCTTGATTATATGCTAAACAAGGGGTGGATTATTCATAAGTTTTCCAGGAAAAGGGCAGACAATTCCTAGAACTGAGGGTTCCTCCCCTTTTTAGACTATATAGGGTAATTTCCAGACATTGCCATGGCATTTGTAAACTGTCATGGTACTGGTGGGAATGTCTTTTGTAATTGCAGATAATGAGCACTGAAGACGACCAGAGGTTACTTTCATCACCATCTTGGTTTTGGTAGCTGCTTTACTGCATCCTGTTTTATCAGCAGGGTCTTTACCACCTCTGCCAGTCCTGTAGACCTTCTGTCTCATCTTGTGACTAAGAATGCCTAACCTCCTGGGAATGCAGCCCGGCAGATATCATCCTCATTTTACCCAGCAGGTATCATCCTCGTTTTACTCAGCTCCCATTCAAGATGGAGTCACTCTGATTCAAATGCCTCTGACAAAACCACGGATAGCACCAAATCTTAAAAATTGCTATGTTTTTTTATATGATAAAGTTTAGTTTACAGATTAGGCACAGTAACAGATTAACAACACTAACTACTAATAAAACAGAACAATTGTAACAATATACTGTAAAAAAAGTTGTATGAGTGTGGTCTTTTTCTCTCAAAATATCTTACTGTACTACACTCACTTAACTTTTGGATCACAGTTGACCAGATGACCGCAAGTTACTGAAACCATGGAAAACAAAACCTTGGATAAAGGGGGTTCCTGCCTGCTAAAGGCACACTCAAGAACCACACACACACACACACACACACACACACACACACACACACACACACACGCATGCATGTACACGATAGTTTCAGAAAGTCAAGGCCAGGTATTTTGAAACGTATCAAAAATCTATGTGCATACTAACCTGGAATCTAATTTCCTGCCCCAGCCTCTCTACTTAATAAAGTAAAAGGCTGCCTATCTCATAGCACTTTTTCTTTTATTCAAGTTAAGCCTTCTCTTCTGCTTTGGTTGTAGGTCATGATCCTGGCTGCTCCCTGCAGACTGAAAAGGTTGACTTCTAGATCTATACGTGACCAGCTTAATTCTAGAGAGACTGTCTGAAGTACTGCACTGTGTTTAGTTTCCACGTCATTTATCACTGACATCGTCTCATGCATGAAAGTGCAAGGAGATTTAAGGAGCTGGCATTTTCTCACAAGATCTCCTTTAGTGGAACGGTGCCTAACATGCTACTTAACTCACGCTGCCACTGAAACATAACTCTCCTCTCCCCAGCACTTCTGTCTTCCATGGAACAGCACAGTCTTCAGCAAGTAGAAAGCTCTACTCAGAACTCTTAGTCCTATTGTGCTAAAATGTGCGTCACACGCACAGGGTTAGGTCACAACCTATCTTCGCACTTCAAATCCCACGTCTCAAAAACAGCTGGACAGAACCTGGTTTTGTAAGAGCAAGTCACCTGAATGACCAAGAAATTCTCAAATAGCACAAAGAAGACAAAAAGAAAATACTACTTCTTTGAGTTTGAAGAAGACCGAGTTTATGTGCCTCATTATGGATTTTTACTTCTTCAATTTGTTTTCATTCTTCCAACCCACCACTTTTTTTTTTTACTGTCTAAAAGCATTAAAAAAATTTAAACCAGGGATAAAATCTTGATGATTCTGTAGCCAGTTTTACTTGATTCTTGGTTCTAGAAATAGAATTTCTAATTTCATTAAAACAAGCCCCTAGAAACAGGTTTCTCTGCTAAAAGAACCAATAATCAGGATTCTACAAATGCAAGGGCCATACAAACTATGTTTCCAAAATCAAAAGTCACAAAGAATTGACATTTTCTTCACAAATGCAGACACCGTATTCTGAAATATTTATATTCCATTCAGTCAAAAGAATGTCCCCCTACTAGTTCTGCTCACCTCCTTCTTGAATCTGAAAGATCTGGTATAGGTCTATCTTGTAATATGGGAACTGTAAGCACTAACCCCAATATGTACCTATGCACACACACACACACACGCACACACACTCACATGCACAAACACACATGCAAGAGAGGTTGCTGCTGTTTAGTCACACGTTTCCTCAATTAAATTTATTGGCCAGGTGCGGTGGCTCACACCTGTAATCCCAACACTTTGGGAGGCCAAGGCAGGCAGATCACCTGAGGTCAGGAGTTCAAGACCTGCCTGACCAACATGGAGAAACCCGGTCTCTACTAGAACAAGTACAAAATTAGCCAGGTGTGGTCGCGCATGCCTGTAATCTCAGCTACTCAGGAGGCTGAGGCAGGAGAATCACTTGAACCCGGGAGGCAGCGGTTGCAGTGAGGTGAGATTGTGCCATTGCACTCCAGCCTGGGCAACAAGAGTGAAACTCCATCTCAAAAAAAAAAAAAAAAAGAAAGAAATTTATTTATTTCAACATCAGTGTCCTCTGAAATTATGATTAGCCATTGAGAGTGAGCAACTCTCTGAAAGCACGTATTTTAAACTGGTAAGAATTCTGCTTATACCTAAGACAAAGCTTCTCTGATGTTTATATGATATTAGACAAGCTACATTATTTTTCAAACTTTTTGACACTTATAAGTGAAGATACATCTCATTTTATCTATGTGTTTCTAAGCTATAGTAAAAAACAAAAACAAAACAAACAAACAAAAAAAAAAACAATGAGTCAGTATTCCATTTTGCCCATATGACTTAGATTTGGATTTCTGTCTATTTCACAGTGGTCTGCTCTTTCTAATCCTTAAATGTATCTAATCCCATAAATGTATATTCTGCTCATTTGTACCAATCAGAGCCTACGTGTAGGCTAAATATGTTGCAACTTGTTTAGTTAATTACAACTTTCCAGGAAGTGCCAGTATCTAATAATACCTCTTCTCCCAGGTTGAAATTAGTGATAAAATTTTTTGATTTAAGAAAATTCTTTTGGGTTAAGAAAATTCGTCTCGTTAAAATGGAAATTCTCCTGGAAAACATAATACAATGAATGAGCCATAATCTGACATTTACCCCCCCTGAGAAATTTTTGTTTGGCATCCTTTATTATATTGCAGTCATTATATGGACCAAGCAGGAAGAAAGAAAAAATAGATCTGGAGTCTGGGCACTAAGTGAAGAGTCTTAATATTCAAGGGCAGTGGTCACTCAGGGGAATAGATATAGAAGAGGGGAGGCAGGAGGATGCCAAAACTCATTGAGTTTTGTTTTTGCCTATTGGCCATGTTCCAAAGCTGCTACCCATGAGCCAGGTTAGAAAAGGAGTGTTGCCATATGGATTGCTGTGATATTGTCAAAGAATGATTGTACCAGACAGAGTTAAATAGACAAGGAAGACTTTATTTACGACTATTGCAATTGGAGAGAAAGATTGAACTCAATTCCACTGAAAGAAAAGGTGAGAGTTTTCTAAGCACTAAGATGAGCTAGTGGAAAAATACTAGAGGACTTTTGCAGGAAGGTTGGTCAGTGTGGTTAGGCCATCTGTGTTTGCAAATTATGCCTTATTAAAGCTAGGCTCCTACCATACCAAAGAGGCTGGAAAATGGGAGGGCTATCTTTCTTGATAATTATATTTCAAACAGATAGCTCCCAGGTCCTTGAGAAAGACATTGAAGGGCTGTGAAAGTGGCAAGAGGCTGGGAGAAGATTTACATCTCAAAGGGGCTTAGAAATAACTTACAAATGGTAAGCTTTCTTTTTTGTTGTTGTTTTTTTTTTGTTTTGTTTTTTTGAGATGGATTCTCATTCTGTCACCCAGGCTGTAGTGCAGTGGCACAATCTCAGCTCACTGCAACCTCTGCCTAGTGGGTTCAAGCAGTTCTCCTGCCTCAGCCTCTTGAGTAGCTGAGATTACAGGTGTCCCCCACTATGGCCGGCTAATTTTTTTGTATTTTTTAGTAGAGATGGGATTTCACCATGTTGGCCAGGCTGGTCACTAACTCACGACCTCAGGTGATCCACCCTCCTCGGCCTCCCAGATAAATGGTAAGCTTTCTAAAGCAAATGCTCTAAGAAAAGGGAAGTGAGGGGCCATCTAAAGTTTAGTGATGCTGAAAAGAATGTGAAGGTCACATTCTTTTGTCTGTATCAGTCTGTTTTCACACGGCTGATAAGGACATACCCCATACCCAAGACAAGGAAGAAAAAGAGGTTTAATGGACTCACAGTTCCACATGGCTAGGGAGGCCTCATAATCATGGAGGAAGGCAAAGAGGAGCAAGTCACATCTTACATGGATGGTGGCAGGCAAAGAAGAGAGAGCTTGTGCAGGGAAACTCCAGTTTTTAAAACCACAAGATCTCATGAGACTTATTCAGTATCATGAGAGCTGCATGGGAAAGACCTGCCCCCCTCCCCCCCATGTTTCAATTACCTGCCACCAGGTTCCTCCCACGACACATAGGAATTGTGGGAGTTACAATTCAAGATGGAATTTGGGTGGAGACACAGCCAAATCAGGTCATCCCACCCTGGCCCCTCCCAAATCTCACATCCTTTTTACATTTCAAAACCTATCATGCCTTCCCAACAGTCCCCCAAAGTATTAACTCATTTCAGCATTAACTCAAAGTCCGCAGTCCAAAGTCTCAATGAGACAAGGCAAGTCCCTTCCATCCATGAGCCTGTAAAATCAAAAGCAAGATAGTTACTTCCTAGATACAATGGGGGTACAGGTATTGGGGAAATACAACTGTTCTAAATGGGAGAAATTGGCCAAAAAAGGGACTACAGTCCCCATGCACATCTGAAATCCAGTGGGGCAGTCAAATCTTCAGCTCAAAATGATCTCCTTTGCCTCCATGTCTCACATCCAGGTCACACTGATAAAAGAGGAGGGTTCCCATGGCCTGGAGCAGCTCCTCCACTGTGGCTTTGCAGGGTACAGCCTCCCTCCTGGCTGCTTTCACAGGCTGGTGTTGAGTGTCTGCAGCTTTTCCAGGCACATGGTGCAAGTTGTTGGTGGATCTACCATTCTGGGGTCTGGAGGATGGTGGCCCTCTTCTCACAGCACCATTAGGCAGCGCCCCAGTAGGGACCCTGTGTCAGGGCTTCCACCACACTGCCCTAGCAGTGGTTCTCTGTGAGTGTCCCACCCCTGCAGCAAACTTCTTCCTGGACATCCATGTATTTCCATACATCTTCTAAAACCTAGGCAGAGGTTCACAAACCTCAATTCTTGACTTCTGTGCACTCGAAGGCTCAACACCACATGGAAACTGCCAAGGCTTGGGGCTTCCACCCTCTGAAGCCACTGCCTGAGCTGTACCTTGGCCCCTTTTAGCCATATCTAGAGCAGCTGGGATGAAGGGCACAAAGTCCCTAAGCTGCACACAGCAGGGGGGCCCTTGGCCCAGCCCACAAAACCATTTTTTCTTCCTAGGCCTTCAGGCCTGTGATGTGAGGGGCTGCCTCAAAAGGTCCCTGACACGCCCTGGAAACATTTTCCCCATTGTCTTGGGGATTAACATTTGGCTCCTCCTTACTTATGCAAATTTCTGCAGACTGCTTGGATTTCTTCTCAGAAAATGGGTGTTTCTTTTCTATCATATAGACTGCAAATTTTTCGAACTTTGATGCTGTTTCCCTTTTAAAACTGAATGCTTTTAACAACACGTAAGTCCCACCTTGAATGCTTTGCTGCTTAAAAATTTCTTCTGCCAGATACCCTCAATCATCTCCCTCAAGTTCAAAGTTCCACAGATCTCTATGGCAAGGGCAAAATGCTGCCAATCTCTTTGCTAAAACATAGCAAGAATCACCTTTACTCCAGTTCCCAACAAGTTCCTGATCTCCATGTGAGATCACCTCAGCCTGGATTGCATTGCCCATGTAATTGTCAGCATTTTTATCAAAGCCATTCAACAAGTCTCTAGTGAGTTACAAACTTTCCCACATTTTCCTGTCTTCTTCTGAGCCCTCCAAACTGTTCCAACCTCTGCCTGTTACCCAGTTCCAAAGCCGCTTCCACATTTTTGGGTATCTTTCCAGCAGTGCCCCACTCTACTGCAGCAATTTACTTTAATAGTCCATTTCCATGCTGCTGATAAGTACATGCCCAACAGGGGAGAAAAAGAGGTTTAATGGACTTAGAGTTCCACATGGCTGGAGAGGCCTCACAATCATGGAGGAATGCAAGGAGGAGCAAGTCACATCTTACATGGATGGCAGCAGGCAAAAAGAGAAAGCTTGTGCAGGGAAACTCCAGTTTTTAAAACCATCAGATCTCATGAGACTATCACAAGAAAAGCATGGGAAAGACCAAACCCCATGATTCAGTTACTTCCCACCAGTTCCTCCCATGACAAGTGGGAACTGTGGGAGTTACAATTCAAGATGAGATTTGGGTGGGGACACAGCCAAACCATATCAGCATTTTAGTCTGTTTGGGTTGTTATAACAAAATATCAGAGACTAGATAGCTTATAAACAAGAAAAAGATTATTTCTCACAGTTCTGGAGGCTGGGAAATCCAAAATCTAAGTGCCAGCAGATTCAGCACCTGGTAAGGACTCACTTTCTGGATCATGGATGCAACTGTCTAGCTGTGTCCTCACATGGTAAAAGTGGGCAGGGCAGTTTCCTGGGGCCTCTTTTATAAGGGCACTAATTTCATTCATGAGGGGTCTACCTCCATGAACCAATTACTTTCCAAGTCTAATCACTTCCCAATGGTTCTACCTTCTGATACCATCACAGTGGTGATTAGGTTTCAGCATATGAATTTTTGGAGGGACACAGTTCAGATCATAGCATATAGTAATATTGGTGAAAACATAATGATCACTTACTAAGCTCTTACTAATGCATCACCTCTTTTAACAGCAATGCTTGATTTTCTTCATTTACATATAAGGACACTGAAGCACAGACAGACTAGGTTACCAGCCCATGGCTATACAGAACCCAGAGAGTCTGGCTTTAGAGCCTAAAGTCTGAACTTCCCTATTCAGCAGCTTCCCTGCTGCTGGGATGGAAACACTCAACTCTTACATCTCAATGTCTGACCTTAAAATGGATCCTCTCACAGACACACCCTAATGTGAGCTGTGATGAGTAACACCCTTGTATAATTCCCTCCCCTTGAGAGCAGATGTAACCTGAGACTTGTTTCTAGATGATAGAATATATCAAAGGTGATGGGATTGTTTCCCATGATTATATTATATTGTACAGAACTTGGTCTTGGTAGCCTGGACTGAGAGGTTCTCCTACTGAGTTGAAGAAGTAAGCTATCATGTTATGAGAGGGCCTATAAGAGGTCCATGTGGTAAGGAACTGTGGGTGGTCTCTAGATCTCAGAGAGGATAAGCCAGGACCAGGGTGACAGCCCCAAGACAGCAGTCCTCCAGCTGCAAGGATATAAATTCTACCAATACGCCCATGATATATACAAATATACCAGTTCTGCCAGTATAACCACATGAGTTTAGAAGTGGACCTGAGGCTCCAGATAAGAACATAGCCTAGCCAGATTCTTGTGAGATCCAAAGCAGAGGACTGAGCTAAGCCATGCTCAGACTCCTGGCGCAGATAAACTATAAGGAACATGAATTGTTTTAACCTGTGGGTTTGTGGTGCTTTGTTGACATTCCTGTTGTCTTGGCTAGGATTCTGGCTCACGTTTACTTTGAGAATCTCCTGCGAGCTCTTTTGTTCCCCAGTTCGCTCTTCTTCAAATTTGCCTGCCATAGGTTTCTTTTGAAAATGTAATCTTGATATGCAATCCTTCAATATCAAATGCATCAGTACCACCTTTTTGTATAGGATAAAGCCCATACTCCTCTACATATTGCAGAACGCCCTCTCCAGTTTGGTTCCACATTACACTATGTTTCCTAACCTCTTGCTACCTCCTTCATGCACTGTTCATTCATTCTTTCTTTCAATCAACCGTGTACCTACATTTTGCCAGAAGCTGTTCTAGGCACTATGTATATGAAGCCTAAATAACAATTTATCCCAAAATATGCCTCTAATTTAGTTGAAGGGACAGACAATTTAGTCAACAATCACAGTTCGGTATAAAAATGTCTATGGGTTGAAGAATAAAATGGTAAAATTCCAATTCCACCACTCACTATTTCTGGGAATTTAGGGAAGTCAACTTTTGTCTCTGCACCTCAGCATTCTCATATGTAAATACTGGAAATAACATCTATTTCATATCATCATTTTTGAGAAGGATTAAACTAGATGATATAAATCAAGTTATTAGCATAATGCTGAATACTGAGTGAGAAACCAGTATTAGTTAAATTTTGATATTCAGTTTGTGTTTAATTTATCAACACTTTAAAGGGAGGAAAGACAAGAATCACAGAGGAGGTGGCAGGGCAGAGTGCCCAGGAGGAGTAAGCCTTGGGGTGATCATGGGAGGATGATGGAATTTGACCCAAATGTGGAGTTTTCAGGCAGGAGGACAACGTGTGTGAAGATTCAGATGCCTGAAATAGCAGGATGTGTTGCAGACACTAATGACGGGGTTTGTCTGAGAAACAGGTGCATGTGTGAGAATTCATTCAAAGCCCCTTTCATTTTTTTCCAACATTCATCTTTACTCTCCAAGAGGAAAAAAAGAAGAAAACTTAATCTGATGCTTACTATGTGCCAGACATTGAAATGCTTTACGCATATGAATTTACGGAATCCTACCCAATGAGGTAGGTGGTACTCTCATCTCCATGTTGCAGATGAAGAAAGTGAAACCAAGAAAGGATGAATATTTTTCCCAAGGTCATAGAACTACTAACCGGTAGTCTGAGATTTGATCCCAAGCACTAGGAGAGCTCTTTACCACATGTATAGGTGCTTCCCAAGTCCACCAAAACTAACAGATTCAAGTAAACACACAAGCAAGAAGGCAAACAGAGACACAATTAATTGGGTGGATGAAATCATTAAAGTTTACTTAGGCAAGCCCCTTCAACACAAGTGAGAAAACTGAAACTCAGAAAGGTTATGACTTTTCTTTCCTACTGAAGCTAATAAGTGGCAGTTCTAAGGGTAGATTCTAAATATCTTCAGCAACATAAATGAACTGGTACTTATGTCAGTGACTATATATATATATACACACACACACACACACACACACATATATATATATTCTCATGTATATGTATATATATTCTCATGTATATGTGTATATATTCTCAAGTATATGTATATACATATATGTATATATACACACCTATATACACACACATATATATATAGTCACTGACATAAGTACCAGTTCATTTATGTTGCTGAAGATACTTGGAATCTACCCTTAGAATGCTTAGAACTGCCACTTAGTAGCTTCAGTATGAAAGAAAAGTCATAACCTTTCTGAGTTTCAGTTTTCTCACTTGTGTTGAAGGGGCTCACCTAGGTAAACTTTAATGATTTCATCCACTCAGTTAATTGTGTCTCCGTTTGCCTTCTTCCTTGTGTGTTTACTTGAATCTCTTAGTTTTGGTGGACTTGGGAAGCATCTATACATGTGGTAAAGAGCTCTCTCAGTGCTTGGGATCAAATCTCAGACTACCAGTTAGTAGTTCTATGACCTTGGGAAAAATATTCATCCTTTCCTGGTTTCACTTTCTTCATCTGCAACATGGAGATGAAAGTACCACCTACCTCTTTGGCTAGGATTCCATAAATTCATATATGTAAAGCAAATTTAAAGAAGAGCAAACTGGGGACAGAAAGAGCTCTCAGGAGATTCTCAAGTAAACGTGAGCCAGAACCCTAGCCAAGACAACAGGAATGTCAACAAAGCATATTCCTGTATATGTATACATACATATATACACACAGTATGCATGCACACATATGTGTGTTTATATATTTATGTGCATCAAGAATATTCATTTAGTACACTATGTGTGTCAAGAATATTCATTTAGTACAGTAAATAATTTGTTGGGCCTTTGCCCCCTGAAACTATAGGCTTGGCATGTAAAATCAATCAGACGTGCCCTTCCAGTTGAATAGCATTGAGAAAGCAGCCCCTCACACCACTTTGGAACATACACAAGGAGTGTTAGATATAATATTCCTTGTTAATAGCTTACAGTCTTACTGAACAAAAAGAATATTTAAAATGAGTAAAATAGAGGCTACTAATGTATATACTAAAAAGTGATCATTGCAAAATACAGATAATCAATTCAAAAGGCCCAAAGTCATCAGACATCACTGTTTCTGTGTTTTACTTTCCAAAACACACTTCTAAATGTGTCTGGCTGTCACACATAATTTCTTCATTTCATCATTTCAAAAATATTTTTGAATGCCTATTAAGTGCAATGTACTATTTCTAGGCATTTGGGATGCAAAACAGACATGATCCCAGCCCTGGTGAAGCCTATTCTATACCAGAGGAAGATAAACAATACATAATACACATAACAAAAATTATATAATATGTTGTATAGTGATGAATTCCAGGAAACAGAATATCAGATAAGGGTGACCTGGAGGTGAGAGGTACAGTATTAAATAGGAGCATCAGGGTAACCCTTTAAAGATGACTATTGAGGAAAAACTTAACAATAATGAAAGTTACAGGCAATTAGATATCTAAAATAAGAGTCTTCCAGGCGGACACACACCAAGGCAAAGGCCTTGGTGTGTTTAGGAGATACCAAGGAGGTCAGGGTGTTTGAAACAACATGACTAGGGGCAAAAAATAGTAGAAGGAGAAATAACAGAGCCAGTACATGTAGAGTCCTCTACCCCACTTTGAAATGAAGAGTCACTGTAGAGAGTTCAGCAGACAACTATCACAATCCAACAAATGTTTTAATTCTTTTCTCAGCAAGAACTGCATAAGAATGCTGCAGCCACCCAGGTGAAAGGTGATGATGGCACGCTATCTAGATCCTGCCGTACAATAATGAATAAAAGTGGTGACCATTGACCACTGTTTGTTCCCAATGGCAGAGGGAGGCTTCCAACACTTCACCATTCAATGTCATGTTTCCTATAGATTGCTAGGAAGCTAACAATTGATTCTTAAATTCAATTCCTAATTTCCTATGTTATTCTTTAAATCCTGAGTGTATGTTACAGTTTATAGGATGCTGCTTCTGACTTCATATAGTTTTAGTCTCCAACTTATTTAAATGTGATGAATTACGTTGACTAATTTTGTAATATTAAAAGAATTTTGCCTTATTAAAATAATACTCTTATGGTGCTTTGTTTGGTGCTTACTTTTGACTTTGCACTGTGCACTGCCCTTAAAAAATTATTTGTGGCAATTATTTCAGTCATAGGACAAAGGTTCTTTTTTTTTCAGAATAATTCTGTGTTTGCTTGCCAACATTGGATACTGTCAAGCTCCTGAAATTGTTACCATTAATATAGTTCCTAATATTGAGGTACATGCACATTATTGAGATAAAAATCTATTTTGTCATAGTTTGTTATTATTTAACACACTGCTGAATTGTATTCCCTGGCATGTATTTATGACCTTTGAATGGAAAATCAAAAGTGAAACTGTTCTATTTTTGTCTCGTACCAGAATTTTCTTATTTAGGCACAAAATTTACATGTCTTGTAGAATAAGTTGAGAGATTTTTCTCTTTTTTTTTCTCTTCTCTTAGGTAAAGTGTATATCACAGGAACTTTTACAATTTGTTTATCATTTCTTTGCTTTCCTTTTTATTTTACCTGATTGCTATTGGACTAATAAAGATTTCTATAATCCATCTTTTCTAATGATTTAAAGCTATAAATTATTCTTGTAGTCTTCAAATATTTTACTGAAA